>NC_000015.10:92653399-92804914 GCF_000001405.40 Homo sapiens
GCCTTGTGGACTCCAGGGCCTATTTTGAGCTAAATGTTTCAAACCTCCAGACTCAGAGCTGCTCTAGGCATTAACCTTCACTCCAACTGAACAATCAGGAAGTCCGTAGATGACAATGGCACCTCTGCTGAATGGCAGGCCCGCATCGGGCATGGAGACACGAAGATGAACTGGACTTCCCAACCTCAAGGGCCCTCTGCTGAGTGCAGAAGCCAGCATGGCATGGTTGGACTGAAGGATGCACAGATTAGGGATGAGGAGGTCAGAAAATAGTGACAGCCTCATTCAAATGTCCAGGAAAACTATACAGAGGAAGGAGGATGGGAGCTGGGCCTTGGTGGCTGCACGCACTTGTAGAATATAGAGGCAAGAATTAGGCTAGAAGCGGGAAACCACAGAGCATAAGGAGCAAGTGACAAGGTACTAGGCTCAGAAGCGCTGGTTGATGTCTGCGTTGCAGACGGGGGCCAGCTTGCAAGGGCCCCAAATGCCACACCCAGGTATTGCCATGCCTAGGTAGTGGCCACAGAGAGCTGCTAGAGTTTGTAAACAGAGGATTGAGGCCAGTGGGTAGAGTGGGAAGAAGACAGGAGCATTTCAACCCAGAGAACATCAAGGAGACCAGCAGAGTGAGGAACGATGTGGCCTGAGACAAGGCAGGGAATGGTGAGGTGAGCGTGGGACCATACTTCCCCTTTCTCCATTTTCTCAGACCACTGGCATCTAATCCTACAGACACAGAAGAAAACACCTGGACTCAAAGTCACACACAACTGACAGCAAAGCTCAATACATAGATGGCTCCTAACTCTGCCTTTTCCTGGTCTGGTTTCTGCTGTTGCACTGAAAATGCTACCAGGAGAGCAAGCCCTGAAGCCCAACCTGCCACAGCTGATCAAACACCAAAGCACTGTGTGTACGCTTGGAAGCAGAGGGAGGCAGCAGTGAACAGCTGACACACACACCCAGACTTCCAGGCGGGCCTCAGTAACAGGACAGGTTTGGTTCATTTCCTGCAAAAACAGGATTTCCCAGGCATTAAAGGAAATGTCCTTGCATTCCTCTTAGCCCTGTCCACCAGGATGGACAGGGATCAAGGACCTGGGACATCCTTCCTAATTTACCAGACACTTTATCCCTGAACGTGAGCAACCTACAAAAGGCTCTCCAAGATCCCTCATGCCCCTGTGAATGTTCATCTAGCGCAACTTAGGCAGGAGCCTAGGAAAGCCGTCTGTGTCCCCCACCAACAGAAAATAAGGGAGGCCACCAAGGGTCGCCTAGAATCCTGAAGCTCAGCTCCAACCCCTGGTGCAAAGCACCCCTCCAGCGTAATTCTGGAGGCAATTCTACTACCCCCCACACTAGAAACTGCTTCTTTCAGTAGCAAAAAAAAAAAAAAGAAGAAGAAGAAGAAGAAGAAAAAGTAGGCGGGGCGTGAGGGAGCTGCAGATGGTAGAAGGGAGAGGGAGTAGCGAGATTAAAGTTAGACAGGCCTGGGTTCAAGTCCTACCTCCACCACTGAGTTTACCTTAGATGAGCCATTTTGCCTCTCTGAAAATGTTTTCCTCATCTGTGAAATGATTATAAAAATAAATTATGGGAAACGCTGTCAGAATTCAGAGCGCTATTGTTAGTGTTCAGCATTAGCAGAAAGCCAACAAATGGGAACCACATATTTATTTTATATATATAGTTAAAGAGAGGAAAGAAAATTCCTAAAACATGTACCAGGAAAATCCAGACGAGCACACCCCGGCCCCCCACCCACTCTCCCGGGCAGGGCAGGAGGCACACGGCTGGCTGGGGCGCACCAGGGCACCTGTGCGTGCAGGTGGGGCGGGCGCGCGGCGACAGCAGGTTGGCGATGCCGCCCTGTCGGCCGGCGGGGGAAGGAAGAGGGCGGGAGGGCCCACCTGAAGACGCGCAGCAGCAGGCAGGCGATGAGGAGGGTGGTAAAGGCGAACGCCACGATCACGGCTGCCTTGAGGGTGGGTAGGTCGCGGAGGAGGATGGAAATGCGGGTCACCAAGGCGTCGCCACTGCTGTTGGAGCTGGAGCTGCCGCTGCCGCCCGCCGCCCCAGACCCAAACCGGGTGGTGTTCCCGGGCCCCGGGCCGGGCGGTGGCCGCGACTCGCGCTCGGGTTCGGGCCACGGCGCGGAGACGGACTCGGCTCTGCTGGCGCGGGCGGCGGGAGCGGCCAGGAGCGCGAGCAGCAGCAGCGGCAGGAGCGGGGCGGGCAGCGGCACGGCGCGCATAGTGCGGTGGGTCGGCACAGGATCGGGCAGGGCGCGCGCGGCTGAGCTCCAGGATCCGCACCAGCACGGAGGCCTGCACCGGGGGATCCTGCGGCGGAGGCGGCTGCGCGGTGCTTGGCAGGAAGCTGCGGCGCCCGGAAGAGCCCGCGCCACCGCCGCCGCCACCACCAACACGTTGCAAGGAGTCATTCGACGGGCCGCGGCCCCACGTGGGCGGGGCAGGCCACCCGGCCTGGGTCCCGGCTGCGCTCCGCTCGCCCGCGACCCCAATTCCTCGGGACTTGAGACCCCGTGGTGAAGCAGCAACTGCCACGATGACACTTGGGCTGGCCCTGTGTTACACGTTTCACGTGTTTTATTTATTTCATTTAATTCTACAACCCCCTTTGAAGACAGGTATTCTGTTACCCACATTTGATAGCTGACTTGGCACCCAAAGAGCCAGCTCACAGCAACCCACATTGTGTCAGACTAAGAATCAAAAACTATGGGACCTAGAAGTAGACTCCCATCTTGCAGATCAAAAACTGAAGCCGACAGTGAAGTGGTTGCCTGATGTCCTATGCAACGCATAATTTCAGTATCTCCCCTAATTTCCCTCTTTCTCAAAAGGGGTTTCTTATTTCATGCGCCTCTGCTTACGAACCGGACTGGGATGTGAATCTCTGCCTCTCATACCTTTGTTGTGGAACACCAGTTGGTGTGGTTAATGCCCCCCTGCCTGGCTGAAGTTTCTCCGGGGAATAATTGGCTTGCTGCCTCTGGTTTGTAAGCTAAATGATGCTTAGGTGGAGAAAGACAATTAAGGAAGTTCTAGTGGGAGGCCCAAAGGTGGAAACTGATGGGGACACAGAGCCCCTACCTGAAGTACTAGGAGCCATTCCCAGGGCTTCAGGGTTCCCCTTTTACACTGCAGATGGGTCCTGGCAGGAAGCTTTTCGGTGGTGGGTAAACAGTTAAATACACATGACATGACAAGGTCCCAGGGACCTTAAACAGCCCATTTCTGGTCCTGCTGGAAAAAGAGACAAATATAGTACAGTGTATTAGTTGTCTACTGCAGCATAACAAATTGCCCTAAAACCTAGCTGCTTAAAACAACATGCATTTAGTATCTCACAGTCTGTGGGTCAGGAAACTGACCATAGGTTACCTGGGTTCTCTGCTTCAGAGCCTCTCCCAAAGGTGCAATCAAGGTGTCAGCTGGGGCTGGGGTCTCCTCTGAAGGCTCAACTGGGGAAGGATCTGCTTCCAAGCTCAATCAGCATTTTTTGGCCAGATTCAGCCCTGCACTGGCTGTTGGACTGGAGCCTCAGTTTCCTTGGGGCAGTTGGCCAGAGGTTGCCCTCAGTTCCTTGGCATGGGGCCCTTCCAACATAGCAACTTGCTTCATCAAAGTATGCAAGTCAAGATAGCAATAGAAAGAGTCACCTACCAAGACAGAAGTCACTGTCTTATGAAACCTCATCACAGAAGTGACATTCTCACACCTTTGTCATATTCTATCAGTTAGAAGCAAGTCACAGGTTTTATCCACACTCAAGGAGAAGGAATTACACAACAGTATGAATATCAGGAAGCAGGGATCATTGGGGCCATCCTAGAAGCTGCCTGCCACCTACAGTGTAATTCATTTTGATCTGGGGGGATGGACAACAATCAGATTATCAGAAGTCATCATCCAGAAGGTACTTCTGAAATGCATGTTAAATATGCATTCCATGTTAAATATGCCCCAGTGATAAGAGATATGGATAGATCACATGATTTAGGTCTCTTCTAACTCTGAAATATCACCTTCTGGTATGTTAAAAATGTTGCATTAGTAGAGAGTCAACATCATCATATCAGTATGATAGAATATATAAAAGTAAGTTTTTAAAGAAACACCTCTGATTCCATGATTTTGGAGAACTGTTCTCCAAGGCATAAACCTCAGCTATCACAGCCTCTTATTTTTGTACTTATCAGAAATTCCTGCACGATACAGCAAAGAGGTCCTGGGCTTTGAGCCTCTTAGCCAGGATGAAAGGTTTGACCACTGAATGGCCTTGGCCAAGTATTTAACCACTGAATACCAGGTTTTTAATATCTGAAATAGGCTGGGCGTGGTGGCTACGCCTGTAATCCCAGCACTTTGGGAGGCCAAGGTAAGTGGATCACCTGAGGTCAGGAGTTCGAGACCATGGTGAAACCCCGTCTCTACTAAAAATAAAAATTAGCTGGGTGTGGTGGTGCATATCTGTATTCCCAGCTATTCGGGAGGCTGAGGCAGGAGAATCGCTTGAACCCGGGAGGCAGAGGTTGCGGTGAGCCAAGATCGCGCCATTGCACTCCAATCTGGGCAACAAAAGCAAAACTCTGTCTCAAAAAAAAAAAAAAAATCTGAAGTAGGGACAAATAGTACCCAGCTCAAGGCCACTGGAAGCTTCCATAGGACAGAGAAAATATTAGTGCTGTTTTCCTTATTTTGCCACAATTTGTGGACTGATGGTCTACATCAGTCATTAAACAATGCTTGATTGTTTAATGCTAACATCAAGAATGTAGAAAGCATAAATGTTAGACTTTTTTCATAACGTGAAACTTTAGAATCTTTCCTTCTAATCATTTGCTTACTTAAAAATTGCCCTCAATTAGAGTTCTTTAAAAACATTTTAATTCAAATAACCATAAACAAGGACATTTTTAACATGGTAAACGGGCAACAAAACCAAATCTGGTTGATTTCAGAGAAGGGGAGATTATTGGAAGCATGTCATGTTGCTTCCAGAATTGACTGTAAGCCAAAGCAGAAGTTCTAACAGTGGGATTTGTGGACTCCTGGGGTCTCTGAGACCCTTTCAGGGAATCTTCAAAGTGAAAACTAATTCAATAATGATAATAAGATGTTATGTGTCTTTTTCACTATGTTGACATTTGCACTAATAGTGCAAAAGCAACAGTGAGGAAAACTGATGGTGCCTTAGCACAAATCGAGGTACACAATATTCATAGTCGCTGTATTCTTCACAACTATACACTATAGGAAAAAAAAAAATCAGTTTCACTTTAGAATGCCCTTGAGGTAGCCATTAAATTATTAAATCTTGACCTTAAGATCATTTTAATATTATACATGATAAAATGGGAAATAGGAATAAATCACTTCTGCTGTACATTCATGCATAATGACTGACTCAAGAAAAAGCATGTTTACAATTCCTAGAGTTGCAAACTGAACTAGCCACTTTTTTCACGGAAGACCATTTTTAATCAAGAGAGTGACTGACAAACTTTACACTTGGTCTTTGGCAGGCATTTTCTCAAAAATGAGCAAAATGAGGCTGTCATTTCAAGGACACCCACTGCCAGTATTGTAGCCAATGATAAAATACAAGCCTTCAGGTGAAAATTGGAATTTTTAAGAAAACTTGTCAATTGGGATGTTTTTGCTATGAGCTTGACAGCTTCCCAATGCTTCAAAATTTTTCTGATGATCTTGGTGGCGATATTTAAAAGTATGGGTTTTTTATATTATGTAATGAAACATATCAAAATTTGACATATCTGCATAAATTTTTCCAAATGGCCAATGCACAGTGTTACAAAATCATTTCTGAGTAAATGATCCACTCAAAGTATAAGACAGACCAATAGACTCTGATGAAACAAAATATAAAATATTCATTACTATGGTTTCATATTCCACATTGCAAATAATCTTTAAGAAACTACAACCTGCAAATTTTGGTATAGTATCAAAGAAGAATCTCCACAACTACCTGAAAAGGCTACTAAAATTTTCCTCCCTTTTCTGACTAAATATCAAGGTGAGGCTGGATTTTCTTCATGTTCTTCAACCAAAACAACAAACTGCAACAGATTGAATGCAAAAGCAGATGTGAGAATCCAGCTATTTTCTATTAAGCCAGACATTAGAGAGATTTGCAAAAAAATGTTAAAGAAAGGCATGCTTTTCTCTAACATTTTTGTTTTAGAAAATTAGTTATTTTTCATTAAAATATCTCTCATTCTTTTTTGGTAGAAACAGGGTCTTGCTATGTTGCCCAGGCTGGTCTTGGATTCCTGGCCTTAAGCCATCCTTTGGCCTCAGCCCCCCAAAGCACTGGGGTTACAGGCATGAGCCACTGCACCCAGCCAAAAAATATCTTATTGATGTTAATGTGTTATTTTTGTTTTTAAATATTTTAGACTTCAGTTTAATTTATAATGCAGCAAATATCAATATGTTTATTGATATAAAACAAAATAAACAAAAGCTCTTCGAGGTCCTCAATATTTCTTAGCATGGAAAGGATTCCTGAGACCAAAAAGTTATCTAAGAAATGCTGACTTCAGAGAAACAGGCTTAGGGAAACAAAACCAAACCAAACAAGCAAACCAATTAGGATATTTTCTGCTATAAGAAACAGAAAACTCACTTGAACTGACTTAAATAAAAAAGGACATTTCACCCCAATTACTCTGATGTGATTATTACACATGTGATGAGAACATCACATGTACCCCATGAATATACACATGAATATGATGTACCCATAATATTTTGAAATTGTTTACATAAAATGTTTTTTTAAATCACATTGTACCAAAAATAAAAAATAAAAATGAAATATCTTCTTGCACATAAAGGAAGCGCCTGGGAGGAGAGGTTTAGGATTGGTTGATTCAGCCATGTGCATGATGTCAAGGGTCCTGGATCTTTCCATCTCTCCACTGCTGGCCGCAGCACTGACTTCAACCTTAGAAGGGTGGCCGCCTGGTCACAAGATCCACAAGGATGGCTGGAGTGGCAATCAGGGTGGAATGCTTTCTTGCTCACATATAGCAGGTGAGAGAGGAAAATACTTTTTCCAACTATGGAACATAAACCCTCCTCTCAGTCTGATGGGTCCATCTTGAGTTACAGCCAGGGGGCTATCATGCCCTGATTGGACTAGACCTGCCTTGGAACTAGGGTTGGGGCGCCCCCCTAGGAAAATTAAAGAAAAAGAAAAGGTTGTGTTAGGAACAAGGAAGGGGAAGACATAGATACTGAATAGGCTACAACGCCCATTCCAACAAGCAAGAAACAAGGAACTGAGTCTGTCTGGATTTGTAGAATCAAAGCCCAAATCAGACCCAGGAAGGATCTGGTTAGGAAACAGCACTGTCCAGCAGATGTCTCGTGGGCTCCGCCATTACCACTGACTCCTAAAGCCACCAGACAGTAGATGCCACTGCTGTGACCACGGCTCAAAGAGTGAATTTTTATTTATTTATTTATTTATTTATTTATTTATTTTATTTTATTTTATTTTTTTGAGACAAGGTCTCACTCACTCTGTTGTCCAGGCTGGAGTGCAGTGGCGTGATCTCGGATCTCGGCTCACTGCAACCTCTGCCTCCCAGGTTCAAGCGATTCTCCCACCTCAGATCAGCTTCCTGAGTAGCTGGGACTACAGGCACGTGCCACCACTTTTTGTATTTTTTGGTAGAGAGAGGGTTTCACCATGTTGGCCAGACTGGTCTCAAACTCGTGACCTCAAGTGATCTGCCCGCCTGGGCCTCCCAAAGTGCTGGGATTACAAGCGTGAGCCACGGCGCCGGGGCTGGAAGAGTGTCTCCTTAACTTCCTGTGAGTTGCATCACTGGCTTGAAATTAAAGGTCCTAAAACGCAGCACCTGATTGGCTACCCCAGTCACGTGGCACTGTCCGAGAAGGGGAGAGGGCATATCCCACCCTCTTCATCTTCCAAACGGGAAGAGCAGGGGTCCTCCTCCACCAAGGATCACACCACTGAGGAGTCCACCACAATAAGGACATCTGGATGCGGGTAGCCAAAGCCAAAACTAGTAAACGGCCACTTCAAACACAGAGGAAAATTCTTCAGAAATAATTAGATCAAAAAAGGAAGTAGATAGTTTCTTAAAAATAAATACATAAATACAAGACAGGGTCTCGCTGTGTTGCCCAGGCTGGTCTTGAACTCCTGGACTCAAGTGATCCTCCTGTCTTGGCCTCCCAAAGTGCTGGGATTACAGGGATGAGCCACCATGCCCAGCCAAGGTGGGTAGATATTGATGAGAGAGATATAAAGATAGATAGATAGATGTTAGAGATAAACGATAGAGAGGTGATAGATGGGCATATAGGTAGAAGAGAGAAATTTATACATATTTTCTATATACTGTACATACATTCATATATGCACAATAAATACAAGTCATTTAATTCCAGTACACCACTAACTGTGTGATCTTGTTTAAACCTTATGCCTCAGTTTCCTCATCTGTAAAATAGGGCTAATAAGAGAACCTATCTCATGAGAGTATTTCAAGGACCAAATAAGTTAATACTTGGAACATGCTTAGCAAAATATCTAAACAATGGTTAAGTGCTCAGCAAATGTTAATTATTAATAAAATATCAGAGCAATGAAGAAGGATCACTGAAATGGCATTTAACTATAAATCACTTT
Source organism: Homo sapiens (assembly GCF_000001405.40). Taxonomy (NCBI): domain Eukaryota; kingdom Metazoa; phylum Chordata; class Mammalia; order Primates; family Hominidae; genus Homo; species Homo sapiens. The sequence continues at coordinate 92,662,124 of NC_000015.10, forward strand.
TCCAGCCTTCAAGGTTCACCAATATCTGAGGGAGGGAGTTTCTGATGCCCTGGCTGGGACACCTCCAGGAGACAACAGCTATGGAGCAAAACCAGATCCCTGAGTTAATAATGCCTAAACCACCTTGGAATTCAGAGCAGGAACACCCTTTGGACACCTCTCACCTATTTGCTGTTTTATACATATGTAGCCCAGAGGAAATAGGTCTCAGTGAAGTAACCTAACTGTTTGGAAGACAGACATTCTCCATTCTCTGTGACTAGCAGCTGACTTAAAACAGAAGGACACAAGAAAATATATTGGAAGAAAATATACCAACATGGTTCGGTTTGGTTTGGTTTGGTTTGAGATGGAGTCTCTCACTGTCGCCCAGGCTGGAGTGCAGTGGCCGATTGTGGCTCATTGCTACCTCCACCTCCCAGGTTCAAGCCATCCTCGTGCCTCAGCCTCCCAGGTAGCTGAGATTACAGGCACGCACCACCACACTTGGCTAATTTTTTGTATTTTTAGTACAGACGGGCTTTCACCATGTTGGCCAGGCTGGTCTTGAATTTCTAGGCTCAAGTGATCCGCCCACTTAGGCCTCCCAAAGTGCTGGGATTACAGGCATGAGCCACAGTGCCCAGCCCCGGAAATATAACAACATGTTAATAGCAATTATCGCTAGATGTGTGATCATGGGGCATTTGTGTTGTCTTTACTGCATCAGACTTTACTGCAACAGACTCTAGGCTCTGTAATAAATATGTACTAATTTGGCAGTTTTCTTACATGCAGTACATATATTAATCTTAACTATTTTATTTCCTAAAATGAATATGACATGACTCACCTTTGTTTTTAACATACCCTCAGGCAAAGGGCTTACAAAGATGACCAGAGATCAAACTCTGGAGCATGCGTAAGGAGAATGTGAGAGGCAGACTCTCAGTTCCCGCTGCACCCCATACTGCTGACACAGTGTAGGGAAAATAATTTTTAAGGGTAGACTGAAGAGGGGTAAGGAAATTCCAGATAACAACGTCCACCATGCATTGAGCTTTGCAGGCATAATCACACATACCTTTCAACCCTATGGGAAATAGGCATTAGCATCTCTATTTTACAGAGGGGGAAACAGAGGCTTGTCAATTTAGGGACCTGAGAGAGGCACATGTGCATGGGCAGTGGAAGAAAGGTCTGGCCTGGTAAGGAAATCCCCTTCAGCCCTTGGAGAGTTATTTCTGTTCCAATTTGGAGAAGCTGCTGACTACACATCTACCTGAGGGGGACCCACAGCAAAGGAGTGGAGGGGAAGTCCAAGACGACTCAGCCAGAAACCCAGCGAGCAACCCCACGGAGTGTTCCAGCCCATCTTTCATTTCTTCCTAGACGTCACTAGCACTCGTCATCTGGAAGGTTTCTTCCCACAGCAACAGATACGTTTTGTGCCCCTGTTACGGGCTGGACACTTTCGGGAAAGGAATAAATATATTGCATGTGGCCTTTAGCCTTAAGCACAGCCATTCTGATTTGCAGACAAGACATGTTGACTGTTGAGCTAATCACTAGTAAATAAAATTTCCAGACCCAAGAGAAAAGGATGAGAAGGAGTAGAGGATCCGTCCTGAGTATATTCCACAATCATTGCTAGAGACGTTCAGATGCAAGAACTCATGTTGGCTGCATGCCCACTGTGTGCCACACTCACCTCACATGTGTCTCATTAGTCCTCACAGCAACCCTCTGTACCCCATCATAGCCTCCCCGGTTGACATGCAAGGAAATGAAGACCTGCGGGGTCCTACAGTGTCTGGGGCCAGACCAGCACCAGGGCACAGACCCCGAGCTCAGTCTTTCCAACTCCTAAGCGAGACTGGGGTTGTCTCCAAAGACAGTGAGGCATTGCTCCATTAGAAATACCCCGTCTCGCTCCACGGTGCTGGGAATATCAGAGAGTACGTTTGGAAAAGTAGAGCTGAGTAGTGGGAGAACCCTCTGCAACCCCAGTGAAACCTCCTGCGTGCAGGCCGCAAGCACTCGTGTAAAACGCAGGCCCCAAATACTAGTAAATGTCATGATCAAATCCACTTCTCAGACAGACTCCTTTACACACAGTTGTTATCATCCACATAATAAAAGGAATTGGATTTCCCTCGTTTGTCTTAAGTCTTTGCACAATTTCCTCCCACCTTTCCTGGGCCTGCTGGGAGGCTCCGCACAACCCCACTGGGTGGAAGGCAGAGTAGGCAGGGGAACCCTGGGCCTGGCAGTTTTGTTACAATACTGTGTCACAACACAGACAGGTGGGGTGGCCAGAGTCAGGCAGAGCGACACAGGGTGTGTCAGGTGGCTCTCTTGTCCCTGCCTGTGCACACACATGATGGAACCCTGGTACAGTAACACAGCATTCAGTTGAGACCGAGGAAAAATAAACGAGGGACAATTCATCCTAACCTAACTCAGGACAGCGGCCAACCCTCTGGTTTTGCCTGGGTCTGAGAGATTTCCAAGGATGCAGGACTGTGTTTTTAAAAGCAGGTTAGTCCCAGACAAACCAGGAAGAGCCGGTCAGCTCAGCTGACCTCTCTACCCTCAGGTAATGCAGCCCCTTGCCTTTATATTCTCCAGTCCTTCCTCAGCCCACTCGCTCACCCCGCCCCTCTGTGTCTCTGAGCAGCCAGGCAAGCTTGAATACTAGCTAATATTTATTGAGCATTTACTTAGCGTCAGGCGCTTTACATCAGGCCTAAGGAGAAAATACGGTTATCACCTCCTGTCACAGATGAAGAAACTGAGGCTGGCAGAATTAGTGTATACAAATAATTCCATAAAACCAGCTTCTGCGCACACTTGAGCTTATAAAAGGTCTCCATACTTTGCCTTCCCAAGTTTGCCAGAGAGAGGGAGACAGAAAAAGAGAGAGAGAGAAAATGAGTGATGAGTGAGAGAGAGAATGAGAATTAAAGGTCTCTCCCTCCATCCTGGAGGGGGACAGGCTGCATCTCAGACATCAGGCCCTCTCAAGGGATCAGAGGATCAAGCCCATCCTCCGCTTGCTCTCTGCACCTCGCCTGTGGAGCTGACACAGCACCAGCTGCAGCTCATTTTACTCCCCGCCAGAAACGAGGGTGTTATCATGTGATATTTTTGCCTCTTTTTATAAATAATTCATCCTTTTTTGCACAAAAGTAAGATAGCCTGAAGCTAGAACATTTAAAAGGAACGTCAGCCCCTTATACATAAACAATAAAGTGCTAGTTTGCCAGAAAGTTTGCGAAAGTCCCGAAGCTAAAATACACCTCGTTCTAGGTCTATTTTTAGCCTGGAAAAGGCTTTCCGATGTCTTTCTCAGTTCACACGTGATAAGGGCTGTGTTATGCTTTCTCTGAAATGGGGCTTTCCCAAATCAGTTACATTTGCACAGGGAAATCTAAAAGATAACTTGCCAAATAAGCATACTTATGAAATCCAAATCCCAAGTACACAAATGCTTTTTTTAACTCCACAAAAATAAATTATAAACAAATTGATAATGGAGTCTACGGTCAACCACGGCTATGAGAAATGGGGCCACAGATTGTTAACGTTTACAGGAGTCTTTTTCCCAAGACTGAGAGGGAGTTTTCCTTTGCAGAAGGATAGCAATTCTGGAGCTGGAAATTACAATCGTAAGAACAATTATGGGAAAAACAATTATGTTTGATGATAAGATTTGGGCCTCCATGTTATTGTGGGCTCCCTTATCCCCTTGATGTCATGCATTAGTTTGGTTTTTTGTTTGTTTGTTTGTATTTGGGACGGAGTCTTGCTCTGTCACCCAGGCTGGAGTGCAGTGGTGTGATCTCGGCTCACTGCAGCCTCCGCCTCCCGGGTTCAAGCGATTCTCCTGCCTCAGCCTCCCAAGTAGCTGGGACTACAGGCACCCGCAACCACGCCCGACTAATTGTTGTATTTTTAGTAAAGACGGGGTTTCACCATGTTGGCCAGGCTAGTCTCAAACTCCTGACCTCAGGTGATCCACTCGCCTCAGCCTCCTGAAGTGCTAGGATTACAGGCATGAGCCACCATGCCCAGCCTCATGCATTAGTGTTTTATGAGAAAGACATTTTATTTCTTTACCTAAAAGGATTTTTTTTAATACTAACATTGCTGTTGTCAAAATATCTTCAGAAGGACACATGACAGACTCATAATGTTGGTTGCCTATGGCAGAGGGTGACCAACCATCCCAGTCTGCTGGGGTTTCAGGAGTCTCCTGGGATGAGGACATTTCAGAGCTAAAACAGAAAGTCCTAGACAAAGCAGGACCAGTTGGTCACCCTACCTAGGCAGGGGAACTCTGGATGGCTGGAACAGGGGCAGGAAAGGGAATAGTAACTGTATCCCTTCATGCATTTGGAATGTTGAACTATGTAAACTTATTGCTGGTTAAAAAAAAATAGGTTAAAAATGTTCTGTCAGTATCATATGAGAGGACTCTTTTTAAATCAGTAGATCACTAAGCGTAGCAAAGAAAAGGTTACTGGACCTATGCAAAATTTATATCAATACATTTAAGGTCTGCTTTATTATTTCATTTGTTTCTGAAATATGTCCTCCAAAAGACTTCACAATTATTCACCAAAAAAACTCAAAAATTTGCAGTTCTTTAATCCTCATTCTCACAACACCAGGCCACTGAGGCTCACACTGTTGTTCCATTTTGAAGATTAGGAAATGGAGACCTAATGAGGTTATCTGACTTGCCCCAGGGTTGGAAATGAGCGTGCCATGCAGCCCGTGTCCCCAGGGCCGCCCTCTCCCGTGCTGGCCTACTTTACAGCTGGCTAGTATCGTCAAACCATGGAAACAGCGAGCTGTTGCCAAAGAGAAATATTTCTATGAAAGTTTCTGAAGTGTCCCCTAGGAGAGCCTGCAGACGTCAGTGACGACATAATATTGCTGACAGAGCCCTCCCCACCAATCGTGCTGCTCAGAGAGTGCCACCCATGGAGCAACTTTTTAGGAGATTCCCACAGGATGGAAAGTCCTGAGGTGCATACGTGGAGGGACCCCACCTTTGAGCTCAGGTGGACCATCTGTCCACAGTTCCTTTCACAGTGCAGTACTTTTCCCATACACATCAAAGTTGCTTTGGATCGAGAGGCGAAGACCAGCAGGGCAGAGCTAAGCAGGCCACAGACATCTTTCCCCAGAAAAGCTGAGGGTGAGAGGCAGGGCGGTTCACCCTCCGGATGGCTGTTTGTAAAGTAAATATTGATTTTGAGCCATCCCCCAACCTGCTCAGGAAAACACACCAGCTGTTGCTTCTGCCTGCAGCTCCAAGTGGCAGTCACTCCCATGTCCAGAAACATCCTCTCCATACCTGTCCCCACTGCAATTCCCACAGCTGGCATCGTCAGCCTCTCCGTGACAGTGGAGTTAGACCTCACGTTTGCAGGAATTTGTGTTTTAATTCCCAGGCAGAGCTCGGGCCTCTGAGGGTTAGGGACACAGAAAAGGTCAGTTTGGGGATGGCCCCGGGTGGATGGCTGTTTCTCCTGTTCCCCACAGTGTGGAGCCCAAACCTTCACCCCTGTGTTGATGCATCCTAGACCCACTTTGGACATTTCCACCTCACAAGTAACGTTGGCAGCCACTTCCCGAGAGGCGCTGCTCTGCGTTCCTGACCATTTTTTTCTCACTCCTCTCCAGCCTCAGGGATACACCCTCCTGTTTGAGACCAGCCCCCACACGTTGGCCCTGAGTTCAACCCTCCTCCACCTCCTCTGAGGCTCTGCTTCACGCATTACCTCTGCTTCCTCCTGTATCTTCACCCTCCAGTAGATATTTCCCATTCTGGTTTCTCACTGAGAAAGAAAAGAAAAGAGAAACCAAGAGGGAGAGAGGGAGAGAGAAAGAGAGAGAGAGGGGAAGAGGAGAGGGGAAGGAAGGAAGGAAGGAAGGAAGGGAGGGAGGGAGGGAGGGAGGGAGGGGGAACGGGAGGGGGAATGGGAGGGAGGGAGGGGGAGCGGGAGGGGAGAGCCTACAACTTTGTGTGTCTCCCTTTTGCCCTCCCTGAACCTCTAAGTGGCATTTGATGATGCCAGGGCTTCCTGCCTTGGAGGTCTCCAGTTTTCTATCTTCCCTCTGACCTCTCTGTCCCCTCTCTCGGGAGCTGGCTCCTCTCCCTTTTAACTCAGTCCCCAGGGCTTCCTGCTGAGTTCTTTTCTCACTCTGGCCCCTCTCCCTGGGTTCTCAGGTACCCAGCATGTCCCACACAAGATTCTTCATCGTTCCCCAAAACCTGCCCTACCTCCAGAGCTCCTACGCTCTGCTGGCCACCACACTGCACTTGGCGGAGGCAGGAACCTAGGGGTCCCCCTACAATCCCCCCATTACTAAGTCCTTCCTCTTCTCTCCAGAAACAGTCCAAATCCAACCACGAGTAAGTTAGTGTAACTTGTTTGTTTATACGTCTCTCAAAACACACACACACACACACACACACGTAATGTCCATCAAATCAGGAGTTGTGTCTGTTTTGTTCATTGGCTATTTCTTCATCAACCAGAAATGTATCTGGCACACAGTAAGTGCTCAATAAATGTTGCTGGACTGAATGGATAAGTACCTACTGCCGTAGTTTATAGCAAGCAACAGGAGTTGAGTGCACGTATTTAAAGTCAGAAGGCAAGAGCTGGAATCTTGGCTTTGCCATTTACTCTCAGTGTAACTTGCACTAAATTAAACCTTAAGTCTCAATTTCCTCACCTGTAATATGGGCATAAAGATAGCAGCTCACTTATCATTAGGATTAAATGAGATAGCACATGTAGAGAACTTAGCATAATAACTGGTACGTATTAAGTCATCAATAAACATTACATATTATGTTTCTTATTGTTGTTCTTTCCTGTCCTCATGTGTCACCTGTATTATAACATCCTTCCAACCGTTCTCCAAGACTCCAGGCTCCTCTCTTCAGGAGAATTCCCACCCTAACATCGTAATCAGAGTGATCTGTCCAAATGCAAAATCAAGCATAATACTCCCTTGCTGAAAACCCTTATGGGGTTTAAACTCTGCCAGTAGAGTCCTAATTCCTTAGTATGGGCCCAGCTTCCCCACCCCCACCTCCCAGCACCCCAAACTCTAAATTCACTAAACTCCTAGCTTCATCTACCCTTACCTCCCAGCACCCCAAACTCTAAATTCACTAAACTCCTAGCTTCATCTACCCTTACCTCCCAGCACCCCAAACTCTAAATTCACTAAACTCCTAGCTTCATCTAACCCTTACCTCCCAGCACCCCAAACTCTTAACTTTACTAAACTCCTTCCATCCGAGCCTTTGCCTAAACTGCTCCCTGGTTCTTCCACCAGGAATGCTCTTCCTTAACCCTCTCCTCTCCATTTTTTGCTTAAAGAACTCCTCCTAATCATTCTACAAACAAGACATAAGCTCCTTTGTGAAGATTTTGCTAATCTCTTCTGCACAATCCCCCACCACCCCATACAAATTCACCCCTGCCCACACACATTCCTCTAGGACAGTTAAGGTGGACCAGCTGTCCCAGTCCAGGCAGGAATGAAGAAGTTGCCCAGAATGTGAGACTTTCAGTGCTAAAACTAGGAGAGTCCGGGGCAAACAAGGGCAACTCTAATAGCACAGATCACATTGTTTTGGAGTTAGCTGTCTTTCTGATAAGATTGGAGGCAGCAGAAAGCTTACTTTGATCATCTTCGTGTCCCCAACACCTATCCTGGTGTCAGGCACTTATATAGCCCATACTCAATAAATAGGTGCTGAACGCATTATTGAGGTAGTGTGGAGGCAGTGGAGGAACTAAAGGCCGTGGTTCGGATCCCATCCCCTCGCTGTATGACCTTAGGCAAGTTATTATTTTCATTTGTATATTTGTTTGTTACTGAATGATTGAAGGCAAATTTCTTGGTCTCGGCCTCTGTTTCCTCATTTGTAAAATGGACATAATACCAATTTCGTAAGAATGTTGTAAAGATTAAATGCATGTAGGGGCTGGGCGCGGTGGCTCACGCCTGTAATCCCAGCACTTTGGGAGGCCGAGGCGGGCAGATCACGAGGTCAGGAGATCGAGACCATCCTGGCTAACACGGTGAAACCCCGTCTCTACTAAAAATACAAAAAATTAGCCGGGCATGGTGGCGGGCGCCTGTAGTCCCAGCTACTCGAGAGGCTGAGGCAGGAGAATGGCGTGAACCCGGGAGGCGGAGCTTGCAGTGAGCCGAGATCGCGCCACCGCACTCCAGCCTGGACAACAGAGGGAGACTCCATCTCAAAAAAAAAAAAAAAAAGCATATGAAGTGCTTAACACAATGCCAGGCATATAACAAGCTTTCAATAAATGTTAGCTGCTATTTATATTCACTTTTTTTAAAGAGTTAGCACAGTGCATTCAATAAGGGTTTGTTCCCTTCTCCCCATTAAACAAATTAATACAGGTGGCCTTAAATGTAATTATACCACAGAGAAGGCTTCCCTTAGGACAGGGATCAGCCACCTTGGTTGCACATTAGAATCCCCTGGAGGACCTTACAAACACTGATGCTCAACTCCAGGCCAATTAATTCAAATCTTTGATGGATCCATGCATCAGCACGTTTAAAGGGCTCCCCTGAGGAGTCTAATAGGCAGCCAGTTGAGAACTTCTGCCTTAGGGCACTGGGTTGTGGCTCTTTACCTCTTAATTGCTGTACTGGGTCTTTCCAAAGTTATCCCTACTCTAGCTATTGTCAACCGCAAGTGTTTAATACCCTCTGTTCCCTTCACTTTGTCTTCAGGGCAGGAACTGGAGAATTCTCAGCTCCCTAACCATTCCTGGCCTGTCCCCAAGTTCCTAACAGCTTTTCACAGCTTGCCTATCCCTTCAGAGCCTTCACAGCTTGATATTCCCCCAGGAAGTTGAAGAAATGAAAAAGAGGTCACTTCATCTGTGTCTTCCTTAAGGGGACAGATGGTTCCATTTTCTAGCCAGTGTTTCTCAAACTGGAGTCCACAGACATGTTCTCAGGGACCCGCCAGTTCTGTATGAGGATTTTTTTTCTTTGCATTTTCAATTTGCTAATAATCTAAAAATATTACTATTGTCATTAACTGGTTGCCCCTTTATAAAAGACTGCAAGATTTGAGTGCCCCTACAAAATTCGGTATTTGAGGGGTTTTCATTTGTTTGCTTTGTGAGACAGGGCTCTCACTGTCACTCAGGCTGAAGTGCGGTGTTATGATCATAGCTCACTGCAGCCTCGAACTCCCAGACTCAAGCCATCCTCCCTCCTCAGCCTCCTGAGTAGCTAGAACTACAGGCGTGAGCCACCACACCTAGCTGATCTTTGAGTTGTGTAAAGGCAATGCACACATACAGATTTCGAATTAGTTCAGATAGAAGGACCAAGCAGGGAACCAAATCCTCCCATGGCACAAAGCAATTGAAGCAAAACAGACTCCAAATGACCAGCAAGTAGTTGTTAGTCTCAAATTAGCTGCAGAAACAGATGCAGTTTGTGCATCCTGTCAAAACGTAAGTGTTTGCAGCAGTTCATTAGCAGTGAGTAGTAAATATACATTTACTAAGATATTTTCTTCTCCCATTCCAAAAAAAATGGGAAGAGAAACCCCAGTTGAGGTAGATTTTAATAAAGCTATAATGCTAATTATATCCTTAAGTGAATGTGAGCCATGTACACATTTATCAAGGGCCATATAGTGCCTGATTGTCCAGCAGTAGCAAATACAGCCTTGACGTTAAATACCATGTGTGCCTCATTCTAATAAGAGACAGTCTTTGCATGGATATTATTAAAGTCAAAATACAGCAATAGATATAAAACTAGACCCAAGGCTGCATCTTTTCATTATTAAGCCAACAATAGGCATTTATTTTTAGTACAGCTCATCATAAGTCCCATCAAAATAATGTCGTTTAGATGTGCCTATGTACTCTCTTCTGCTTTCAATTTGTAAATTTGTTTTTGGTTTTATAGGTGCATAAGAGCTTGAAGCATAAACAGTTTATGCCTAGTTTTATTTTACACCTAATTAAGAGATGGTAAAAAATAACTCTATTGTAGCTGTCAATCCTCAATGATCTTTTCCCTGGTGGTCTGGAACACTCGTGCTGGCTACAGATCAGAATCAGACAGAGATTGTCAGACACACAGGCTGCCAGAGGTTGGAGACTCGGGGCTAGAGGACAGGACACTTCCCCGGGCTCCGGATCTGCTTTGTCACTAAGGGCAGAGGCTATTTGGTGATTTATGGACATGGGTTCTTGGTCCTGTCATTTCACCATCTGCCCTCCCCTCCCGCTCCCACTTCCACCTCCCCTGGGCCTCAGTTTCCTCGATTCCCTGAGGTCTGTAGTCCTATCTGTCCCTAATTTTCAGTGGTTCTGTGATTCTTGCCTTCAGTGCGTTATCAGCTGAAGGTAGAGGATAAAGCACCCGCAGGGCTTGGGGTCAGACCTGGCTGAGAATTCTGACCCAGGCACTGCCCCACCTGGGACATTTAAACTTGATGAGCCTTGGGCTCCTTGCTGTAAAATGGAGAGGATAACGCTGTCGCCACTAGATGCTGCACAGATTAAACGAGATCAGAAATGTCTGGTAGGCACAGCCACTGCTCCCTGCCCGACTGGGCATTCAGTGCATGTTCGATACTGCCTTTAAAGTTCCTGTTTGTCTTCAGGAGGGGTTCCTGGGCCTAACTGAAAAGAAGAATTTGTTTTTGTTGTTTTTAAAGCTCAGCCCATAACCTCCTTTCAACCAAACAAGGTCTTCCTGAAACTTCTCTAGATTTCTGAATGTTTAGCTTCAGGATGCACCAAGGAGATGGGAGAAGCTCCCTGAGGGGCCTAGGCTGAAGCCAGGGGGTGATGGGTCCCAAGGACTGCCCTGAGACAAGCCCCTTTCAGGGACCAGAGGAGAAAGAATCATACTCGCTCCATTCCAGGACAAGTGAAAAGGAGGCATGTGTTTCCTGTGCACTTTTCAGCTAGCTGTAATGAAGCAAGCTCATTTTATATTTGATTTTAACAAAGAGAGAATGACTGATGGCTTCAAACACACACATCTGCCATGCCTGTTTACCCACATGAAATTAATCAGAGGACTTCAGGGCTGATGCTGGAAACATGGGTGAGGAGGGCAGGGTTCGCTTGCCCCCACCCCCACCTAAGGTCAGCTTTGGAGTTCGGGAAAAGCTCTTAGCTCCAACTTTCTCAATGAAGAGAGGCTTCTCACACTGCAGAGAGACAGGGAGGCTCCCGCAGCCCTAAGCCTAGGACCCCCAGAACTCTCTGAGCCCAGGTTCCCAACACCTGGTGGGTAGGTAGGAGGAAGCTTTCCATTCAGCCAAGATTCACAGAACCCCACACTGTGAGCCCTCCTCCCTGGCAGAGGTAGAGTTACCGCTGCCTGGACCCCTGAGGGCACAGGGAACCCAAGGGTTCTGAGACACTGGGTTTCATCGTCCTCACCTCCTCCCAGCTGTGCTACATAAAACATCAGTTGTGTAGGATATTGTGTTCATTTTCTGGGGCTACCATAACAATGTGCTACCGACTGGGTGGCTTTAACTACAGAAACTTATTCCCTCAGTTCTGGAAGCTAAAAGTCTGAGATCAAGGTTTTATAGGGTTGGTTCCTTTGGAGGCCTCGCTCCTTGGTTTGCAGATGGCTGCCTTCTCCAGTGGCTTCCTGTGGTCTTCCCTCTGTGTGTGTCTGTGTGCTGATCACCTTTTCTTATGAGAACGTCACTCATATTGGGTTAGGGCCCACCCTAATGTCCTCATTTTCACTTAATTACCTCTTTAAACACATTATCTCCATATATGGCTACATTCTGAAGTACTGGGAGTTAGGACTTCAACATATGAATTTTGAATAGATACAATTCAGCCTCTAGCAGATACTATAATGGGTTAATCTTATGTGTCAACTTGGCTAGTCTGTAATACCTAGTTGTTTGATCAAACTGCAGTTTAGATATTGCTGTGAAGTTATTTTTTAGATACAAATAACATTTACAATCAGTAGACTTTTTTTTTTTTTTTTTTTTTTTTTTTGAGACAGAGTCTCACTCTTTCGCCCAGGCTGGAGTGCAGTGGTGCAATCTTGGCTCACTGCAACCTCTGCCTCTGGGGTTCAAGCAATTCTCCTGCCTCAGCCTCCCAAGTAGTTGGGACCACAGGCATGAGCCACCATGCCCAGCTAATTTTTTTGTATTTGTAGTAGAGACAGGGTTTCATCATGTCGGCCAGGCTGGTCTCAAACTCCTGACCTCAGGTGATCAGCCCACCTCAGCCTCCCAAAGTGCTGGGATTACATGTGTAAGCCACCGCGCCCAGCCACAATCAGGAGACTCTGAATAAAGCAGATTACTCTTTATGATGTGGGTGGGCCTCACCCAATCAGTTGAATGCCTTAAGAACAAAGACAGAGGCCCCTCAAAGAGCAATTCTGCCTCCAGATTGCAACATAGGAATTATACCTGAGTTTCCAACCTCAAACCAAAGACTATAACATCAACTCTTGCCCAAATTTCCAGCCCGTCTGCCCACCCCACAGATTTCAGTCTGTCAGCCCCAACAATCACGTGAGCCAGTTCCTTAAAACGAACCTCAGTCTCTCTTCCTATCCCTCTCCCACCCTGCCCCTTCATATCGATATTAGTCAAGTTTCTCCAGAGAAATAGAGCCAATTTCATACATATTGGCAGTCAAAGAGACCAACGTATATGACCAACATCAGCAGGTCATAGGATATGACCTTAATTTGGTTAAGACCACCAGGTTGGCCTCCAAAGCCGCTGCACAGGTCAACCTTCCCACCAGCAGCACATGATTCCTTATGTCCCTACACACTCCCAATAACAGGTGGCATAATCCAACTGTCTAATTTTGGCATTCTAACAGGTCTAAGTGTCAGCTCTTTCTTGTTTAACTTGCCGTTCTTGAACAGTATTACTAACGATTTGGAGCATGTGCTCATGGTAGCCTTTTTGGTTTTGTCATGGAGATAAAATTTCTTCTCTACCTTCTTAGTGTTTCTGGCTGGGCCCAAGAATTAAATTGTCATAAGACAGATTAACAGGAGAAAAATACAAATTTTATTTATTTATTTATTTATTTTCTTTGAGACAGAGTTTCGCTTTTGTTGCCCAGGCTGGAGTGCAATGGTGCGATCTCGGCTCACCGCAACCTCCGCCTCCCAGGTTCAAGCGATTCTCCTGCCTCAGCCTCCTGAGTAGCTGGGATTACAGTCATGCACCACCATGCCCAGCTAATTTTGTATTTTTAGTAGAGATGGGGTTTCTCCTTGTTGGTTAGGCTGGTCTCGAACTCCCAGCCTCAGGTGATCTGCCCGCCCCACCCTCCCAGAGTGCTGGGATTACAGGTGTGAGCCACTGCACCCGGCCACAAATTTTATTTAGTAATTTTTACATGTGTATGAGAGTCCCCACAAGCAAAATGAAGACCCAAAGAAGCAGTTAGAGGCTAACACTTACATACTAGGCTGGACAAAGAGCAGTATATTGTGAGAACATGACAAGACAAAGGAGCCTGGGCCAGGGCAGTTAGTGGTGGAGCTGTCACTGGGAAGATAAACGCCAGTTTAACAAGGTTGGGTTGTGCAGATTTCTCTTGGCCTCAACTCCTCATCTCTGGTTTTAAGAAGGTCTTTCTTCCTCCTGGTACAGAGGGGGCCCCTTTCACTAAGCAGTTTTGGCTCCCACTTTCGGGGAGAAAAAGAAGGATCAGAGTGTCATTCTTGCTTGTGCTGTTTTTCAAAGTGCCTTTAATTCAAAATAACCAGGCTGGGTGCAGTGGCTCACGCCTGTAATCCCAGCACTTTGGGAGGCTGAGGCGGGTGGATCACGAGGTCAAGAGTTCAAGACCAGCCTGGCCAAGATGGTGAAACCCCGTCTCTACTAAAAATTCAAAAATTAGCCGGGTGCAGTGGCAGGCGCCTGTAATCCCAGCTACTTGGGAGGCCAAAGCAGGAGAATCACTTGAACTCAGAGGGCGGAGGTTGCAGTGAGCCAAGATTGCGCCACTGCACTCCAGCCTGGGCAACAGAGTGAGACTCCGTCTCAAAAAATAAATTAAATAAATAAAAATAACCGATATGCCAGAGTGGCAAGTTTGGGGCTGGAATATTTCGATTTCCTACAGTTTCTACTTTCATAAGTTGCTTCTTTGAATCCCTTTCCATGTTTCTGAGGACATTTCTGTATTGTTTTATTCTTTGGTAGAGTTTCTTGAATAGCTTAGGTATCTGCCATGGACCGAATTGCAAGCCCCCAAAACTCATATGCTGACCTCCTAACCCACAATGTTATGGTATTTGAAGATGCGGTTTGGGGGAGGCAATGAGATCATGAGGGTGGAGCCCTCATGATGGTATTAGTGCCCTTGTAAGAAAAGATGCTCTCTCTTTTCCATGAAAGAAGGTAGCCATCTGCAAGCCTGGAAGAGAATCCTCAACCAGCACCCTGATATTGGACTTCCCAGCCTCTGAAACTGTGAGAAATAAATTTTGTGGTTTAAGCCACCCAATCTACAGTATTTTGTTATAGAAGCCCTAACTAAGACAATGTTAATCCCTCGTAAATCTCGGTCTCTCTCCCTCTCTCTCTCCCACCCTCCCCCTTCATATCTGTAATAGTCACTGCTTAGATATCCTGCATATTTTAAATGGTACAGCTCCCTGTAGCAATAAAATGAGATACCAAGAAAATGGATCACTATTTCTTTATTATGGGAATTAGTAAAACCACATTCTATGCTTTACTGTTCAAGCATTGCAACTTCACTGTTTTAAGCATTGCCAACTATGCTATTATCTATTAGCTGCCATTCTGTTATCTATTAACTTTATAATGATGTCCTGTATTTTGATAGGATCAAGTATGTCTTCTGCTGAAAGGTTTTGTTTAGAAGGCTCTTCCCTATCTCTAAATCACAAAGATATTTTCCATTTTCAGCTTGTATTTTCTTTAATTTTTAATTATTGAATCCATCTGGAATCTGCCTTTACATGTGGTGTTATGTTCATATCCAGTTTTAATTTCCTTTATGTAGTGAGGCACAGTATGAAGGAATTTGGGGGTAAAAAAAAAAAAAGAAATATGTAATGAGGCAGCTTTCTCAATACCTTCTATTAAACAACCATTCTTTCCCCCATTGATTTTGTGGATTAAGTTCCCACATGTACCCGACTCTGTCTAAGAGCTCTCCTCTCTGTTCTCTTGGTCTATCCATCTTCCCAAGTCCATTCTATATTGTCTTTACTACTATGGCTTTGAAATTGTTCTAATATGGGGAGTGAATGTCCCCCCCTCACCTTCCATTCTTTGCTCTTTTTTTAGAGTTTGCTTAGTTATTTGTGGCCTTTTATTCTTCCTTATATTTTATAATTTATGTTAGTCTAAAATTATTATTGAGTTCACAAAAAAATTCAACTGAGATTTTTATTGGGATTGCATTGAGTTTAGAGATTAGGAGAAATTTAACATCTCTGTAATATTAAATTATCCCATCAAAAGCATGGACTATGTTTCCATAGATGATCCTCTATGTCATTCTGAGTTTAAATTTATTTTCATAAAAATCTTGTGTATTTTTATATATGTTAACACCTAAATACTTATCGATATTGTGAATAGTATCTTATTACTGTCAAAATTTCTAATTGGATATGACTGGTGTGAAGAAATACTATTTATTTTATTTCTGGATAATGTTATACCCAGCAAAATCTTCCAAGTCCATTTATTAGTTCTAATCATTGATCTTGTTAGACTATCAACATAGATATTTATATCATGTATAAACAGTTTTATTTCTTCCTTTCAATCCTTTCTCCTCTTATTTCTTTATCCCACTGGCCAGAATCTCCATGCTGCGTTAAACAGTAGCTGCATAGGTGTCTTAGTCCATTTTCTGTTGCTTATAACAATCCCTGAAACTGAGAAGTTTATAAAGAAAAGGAACTTATTTCTTACCATCATGGGAACTAAGAAGTCCAAGGTCAAGGAGCCACATCTGGTGCGGACCATCTTGCTGATCTTTTTACATAGAGACTCTGCAGAGTCATCAGGCAGCACAGGGCATCACATGACAAGTCGGCTGAGCATGCTAAGCTTAGGTCTGTTTTCCTCTTATAAAGCCACCAGTTCCTCTCCCGTGATGATCCATTAATCCATTTACCCATTAAGCTATGAATGGATTAATCTATTCATGACCCAATCACTTCTTAAAGGCCCCACCTCTCAATAATTGCACATTAGGAATTAAATTTCAATGTGAGTTCTGGAGGGAACAAATACTCAAACCACAGCAATAGGAATATCTTAAAGTAACATTTCTGTTCGCTCTTAGCAGTGAAAACTTGGTTGAGTTTCTTCACCATCCTGAATCTCCATTTCTCCAACTGATACGCCTTCCTTGCAAGGTTGTTGTAATGATCGTGATAATAACCCCAAAGTTCCCGGCACACTGTAGGGGCTCAAAGCATAGAGTGTGGTTTCACTAATTCCCATAATAAAGATAAAGCTATCCATTTTCTTTTTTAAAAATTACTTCCACCTTCTATGTCTTTATTCTGTATGAATATATATACAAAGATACATTTAGAAATAAACATAAATAGGTAGATAAACACACATATACAGGATTATATGAGTATGTCTAAATAAATATTCATGTATACAAAGGATGTTCCCCAAAAGACATTTTCAATACCCCAGCATATTCTAAGCATGCAGACATAGACTTACTTCCCTTCCACATGGCTCAATAACATCCCAGATTGGAAAACAGCCCTACAGTATTGTTTGTATAAACAAAGCTTCACCTTTAGGGGCAAGGTCTGGGAAGTAAGCTGGCAGTACAGCCATGTAATGCTTTATGTCTAGGTTAGCATTTCAGGACCCAGCTTTCCTTCTCACCGTATGCCTATTCACATGCACCCTTTGGGGCCTGCCTTGATTCTTCAGCAGTCCGAATTTAGCTAATTGGCTGATTAAAATCACCTGGGCTCAACTAATTGGCTGATTGGAAGCACCTGGGCTGGAGAGGCTGGGTAGGGAAATGACCTCTGATCTACTTTTCTTTTGGGGAATTTTTACAAGACATATTCACAAATGGACATTACATAGACATATTCCTATAACCCTGTGTGTTTTTGTATCTATTGACATATATCTGTATTTAAATCTACAGAAAAAAGACTCTAAAGAAAACTGATATTTGCTTTCAGTATCACGGTCTATCTTCATTCAAGTCACAGACCTTTCTTCCCCTACCCAAGGAATCACTTCCCCAGCCACCAATACAGAAAGACAAGAGGGCACTTCTACATCACCCATTCAAAACAAAAGAAAAAAGAAGATCTCCTGAATTGATGGAAGCTTTCATGAGAAGTATTCAGCATTTTCAAATTTGAGTGAGGGCCTTTAAGCTGAAGCTAGTTCATCTCTGGTCCCTTATTCACCAGAAGGGGAAGGGTCAACCTTGACCTGCAATGAATGACTCCCATGGCGTTAGTGCCTTTTCTTCTCCTCACAGAAGTGAGCAACAAGGACCAATGCTTCCTTCCTTCCTTTGTATACATTAAATGCAGCAAGATGTATGTCAGAGCATACCTTTATTTGTGTACTACTGTGGATATCGTTTAGAGGACAAATAAGATTTTACATTATGGAAGCTTCTTTTTGTTTTTTTGTTTTTTGTTGTTGTTGTTGTTGAGACGGAGTCTTGCTCTGTCACCCAGGCTAGAGTGCAGTGGCTTGATCTCGGCTCACTGCAACCTCTGCCTCCCGGGTTCACGCCATTCTCCTGTCTCAGTCTCCTGAGTAGCTGGGACTACAGGCGCCCACCACCACGCCCGGCTAATTTTTTGTATTTTTAGTAGCGATGGGGCTTCACCGTGTTAGCCACTATGGTCTTGATCTCCTGACCTCGTGATCCACCCACCTTGGCCTCCCAGAGTGCTGGGATTACAGGCGTGAGCCACCGTGCCCGGCCCGGAAGTTTCTTTTTGTATTACTATCAGTACCACTATCTATCAATACTTCTACCTTCTATATCTTTATTCTGTATGAATATAGATAGAAATATAGATAGATCTGGATATAGATATACATAGGTCTATAGATAAACACACACATACAAGATTATATGAGTATGTCTATATAAATACTTATGTATACAAAGATGTTCTTCCAGAGACATTTTCAGTTCTCCAGCCCATCCTATGGATGCAGACATAGACTTACTTCCCACTTATCTGGCTCCGTACCATCCCCAGAATGGAACACAGCGATACAATGTTATGTATAAACATAACCAAATCTTTACCTTTAGGGATAAGACCTGGAAAGTAAGCTGCCAGTACTGACATGTAACAGCCATCCATTTTCTCGATATCCCATTCCCATTGTTATAGGGAGCTGCACCATTTAAAATATGTAGGATATCTAAAGTGGAGGGATGGTAATTATTATTTGAATCCAAAATGAATGATTTATAAGACTAGCGGAAAGGATTTCAGCCCCCTACTCTAAAACATTGTTCATTGAGCGTTTTTGCCAAGGGTAAGCAGAGTAAATTATCAATAGCAGCAGCAGGTACATAGATCACCTCAGCTTTTCACTCTAACTTTATAATGTATGTGTCAACAAACTCATTATAGGCACATTTTAAAATAAGCTTTCATGATCAAGATGGTAGTGATAGAGAATATGGGATAAACTGAGTTTTCTATGTTCTAAACTGTTGGGCAATGATTGAAAAAAAAAGAATGTAAATGTCAGGTTTTTTTATTTAACCCAAATATTTGATGAGGAAAACCTGTTATTTAAACCATGTAAAGTTTTAATCTGTATATATTAGACAAGTGCTTAAAGTACTATAGTAATGCAAGTGCATTAATAAATTCTAAGTTTTATTCAATTCTGAAAAAATACATACAAGCCATCAGGCAATTTTGTTTATCAAATTTCATTAAGAAAAGATAGTATCTCCACTAATTGTTGATACATGCTGGTAGGCTGGTCTTCCCGCCTCCCCCCTCAACATGTGTACTGAAATGCTAATAAATGAATCATCAACAGTAATTACAAATATTCTGGGGATGTGATTTCACAGCTCCCATTTTCAGGAAATTGCATATTTTTGCTCTGTTTGGGTGAAAGCATGTTTATAGTAACAACTTAGTAATAAAAGCCATCTTTGAAAACTATTCTGGTTTTTTTATGTGACTGCAGGGATTTTTCTCACGGCTGACAGCTAAGATTTTAAATAACATTTGTAAAACTTGGACAGATTTTCTGTTCTGCTTGGAAGTGGGTGATTTCACAATCCCCCTTAGTGACATCATGCTTAACAGAACTGCAATGAAAGCGATCCAGCCCCCTGTGCTCATTCCTCACTGTGGCTGAAAGATGGTTACAGCTGTGGAAATGGAGCTTGATTTCCCTATACCAGCAGCTTTGATTCTCTGCTTTCAGCACTTTTTCCCCTGTGATTATAAGCGGGAGGATAGTTTTGAATATGAACTACTAGAGTGCATGTAAAGTTGAATTGTGGAATTATAGTTTTAGAAATTACTTTCAGCCGGGCACGGTGGCTCAAGCCTGTAATCCCAGCACTTTGGGAGGCCGAGGCGGGCGAATCATGAGGTCAGGAGTTTGAGACCAGCCTGGCCGCCAGAATGGTAAAACCCCGTCTCTACTAAAAATACAAAAAATTAGCCGGGCATGGTGGCACGCGCCTGTAGTCCCAGCTACTTAGGAGGCTAAGGCAGGAGAATTGTTTGAACCCGGCAGGCGGAGGTTGCAGTAAGCCGAGATCGTGCCACTGCACTCCAGCCTGGGTGACAGAGCAAGACTCTGTCTCAAAAAAAAAAAAAAAAAAAAAAAAGGAAAGAAATTACTTTCAATGTCTACTAGCAATGCCCTACCACCACCACTATCTCCACAAAATATGTAACAGATGAAGTACAGGAAGAATTGTCAGGTATTTCAAAGCATGCATTAAGCACCTACTCTATCCCTACCTTAGTGAAAGGAGATTTGGCCTCATTGTGACATGTAATCTTCCCAGTCGTCTTTTGAGATGGCTAATGGCAATTAACACCAAAGTCCCAATAATAGCTATTGAGAAAGTATATTACAGGGGTTAAGGACTTGGTCTTGAGTCATAAACCCTGTCTTTTTTTAAAATTTTTATTTCCACAGGTTATTGGGGAACAGATGGTGTTTGGTTACATGAACAAGTTCTTTAGTGGTAATTTGTGAGATTTTGGTGCACCCATCACCTGAGCAGTGTACACTGAACCCAATTTGTAGTCTTTTATCCCTCACCCCCTTCGCACTCTTTCCCTGAGTCCCCAAAGTCCATTGTGTCATTCTTATGCCTTTGCATCCTCAGAGCTTAGCTCCCACTCATGAGTGAGAACATACGATGTTTGGTTTTCCATTCCCGAGTTACTTCACTTAAAGTAAGAGTCTCCAATCTCATCCAGGAGAAACCCTGTCTTTAAACTCAGTTCTGCCACCTTAGTTGTGTGACTCTACTTTCTTAACCTCTCTGTGTTTGGGTCTCCTTGTCTGTAAAATAGGAGTAATAATAGGCAGTTGTAGGGATTAAACCAGATAACGCAGGCAGCACACTCTATCAGTTACAAATTATTGTCAGCTGCAAAAACACATAAGGTTTTATTTTTCTCAAGTAAAAAAAAATTCCAGAATTGTGCAAGCTGCTGCTGATGGTTCAGCAGCTCCAGGAGTTCACATCACAGACTCCAGGCCTTTTCCTCATGGCCCCAAGAATGGCCACACTGTTGTCCAGCTGTCAGGTCCAAATTCCTGGCAGGAAGTAGGACAAAAGGGCGAGCTTCACAACTCAGTCAGCCCAGCCCTTGAGGGGCCTTCCTAGAAGACCCTCTATCACCTCACTTCCCTCTCTCTCCCCCAAACTCCCACATGGCTTCCGGCTTGTCACTCCACTGACATGGCTCTAAGCTTAGTCATGATTCCACATTGCTAAATTTCACAGACATGTTCCTCCTCTTCCTTGACCTCCCTTTCTCAGCAGAGCAAGAGCCCCTTCTTGAAATACGCCCTTCTTGTGGCCTCCATGACACTGCACTCTTCTGCCTCTCTTCCTGGCTCTTTGCCCCCACATCCATCTCCTTTGCATATTCATTCTCCTCAGCGCCAAGACCGGCTTCTTTGCTCCCACGGCTTCCCTTCTTAGACCATCTCAGCACCTCCACCTTCATTTCCACCTACATGCTGATGATACCAACTTCCCCTCCAGGCCACACCTCTCCTCTGAACTCCAGACCTGGGTATCCCTCCCTTACCCACTCAAGTCTTCATGGCCTTGTTTCCAAGGCTTCTCACACTCAATATATCCAAGAGTGTTTGTGATCCCCCTGCCCGTAAACATACAAACAACAACTCCATCAGACTTCAAAAGCCTGGCCCCGTCCGCTTGTTCCCCCACCAAGGGAATGGCACCATCTGCTGTCCAGTTGAGCAAGCTGAAACCTGGGAATCGTCCCTGACTGCTTCCCCTCGCTCTCCTCCCATGTCCTACAGGTCTAGGTGACTTTTATTCCTAAAGATCCCCCGAGTCTGTCCACTTGTCTTTGTCCTGCTCCAAGCCACCCTAATCTCTCACTGGCTTATGGAAATGGCCTCCTCACCAGCAAGCTTGGGTCTACTCTTGCTCTGGTCTTTTCTCTGCATGGGAGTCCTGGAGGTCTTTTCAATACACGAATTGATCAGGTCACCATCACCAACACATGTCACCCTCTCTGCCCTCACTTAAAAACTTTCTGTAGCGTCTCATTTCTCCTATAATACAGGCCAAAATCTTTAATACGACCAACAAAGCGCTGAGTGATGGGCCCTGCCTGATTATGAAGCCTCATCTTGCCCTGCAGGCTCCACACTCTGCCCTAACTGTAATGGCCATCTTTCAAGCCTTCAAGCCTTTGCCCTTGCCACCTCTGTCCATGGTGTGGCAATGGGAACAGGTCCCCTGAAGAGAACAGAGAGGAGAGCATTGGTATAGAGAAGACCCAGTTGCTGAGAGGCTGTGGTGCAGGAAAGGTCATCCATGTGGATAAGGAGGTGGTCCAGGATGCTGGGAAGAAGTGGAGAGGATCCCGGCTGTAATCCCAGCGCTTTGGGAGGCTGAGGTGGGCCTCCCAAAGTGGAGATCACTTGAGGCCAGGAGTTCGAGACCAGCCTGACCAACATGGTGAAACCCCATCTCTAGTAAAAATACAAAAATTAACATGGCATGGTGGCGCGTGCCTGTAATCCTGGCTACTCGGGAGGCTGAGGCAGGAGAATCACTTGAACCCAGGAGGCAGAGGTTGCAGTGAGCCAAGATCACACCACTGCACTCCAGTCTGGGTGATAGAGTGAGACTCTGTCTCAAAATAAATAAATAAAGAAACAAAAGTAGACACGCAGGGGAAAAGACTCACGGTCATCTGACAAAGACTTTGGTGGATGTGCAGAAGAAACCCCAAAGTGTAGATGACAAACACAACCTTAGAGGAGTGAGATATTCCAATGGCAGGAGCCCTAAGACACTGGGAGTTTTTGGCTCATGAAGAACGATGTGGAAGCAGCCACGAAAAGCTAAGAGAATGTTAATCCATGCCCTGGCCTGCCCTTCCTCCAGGACCCATGAAACCAGGACCACCACAGAATAAACGGCCTCCACTCGAGAGAGACACAAGGGAAATGGAGACTTAAGCTCTC
Source organism: Homo sapiens (assembly GCF_000001405.40). Taxonomy (NCBI): domain Eukaryota; kingdom Metazoa; phylum Chordata; class Mammalia; order Primates; family Hominidae; genus Homo; species Homo sapiens. The sequence continues at coordinate 92,684,913 of NC_000015.10, forward strand.
CCACTCTACCTCTGGCCCCATTTCCCTTCTCCAAGCCCTCCCTCTGTCCCCTTTCCACAGTCTCTTTCTTTCCCCCAGCTGCTTAGTGGCCTCCCCTGTAAAATAAGGATGGTAACATTGATCTTTAAAAAAGCCTCATATAGACTCTGGAATATGTATCCTAGAAGGATTCTCATACAGGTTCATAAGGGGACATGCGCGCTCATGGTAGTGTAGTCTGTGCTAGCAGGGAGGTGGAGCACTGGAGGAACAGACTTGAGTCATGTAGAGAATGCACACTATGGAATATGATGTAGCCTTCAAAAAAGCAGATTGGATGTACACAGGGCAACACGGATAAGGTATAAAAACAGTTCTCCTAGCACCCAGGCTGCGGCCTCGGAGTACAACTTCCCACTCATCAAAAACCAGGCCTCCTTGGAGAAATGACTGACTCTAGGTCTGAGGCAAGAAATGTGTAAGATGAGCCAGGAACATCTTATACCAGCCTGTAAGAAAGCTGTCAAAGACTAAAAAGGTGGTGTTAATAACAACTTTAGAAAAAACAACATGCAATGGCTCTCATCTGCCAAAGATAGGACAATTTAAGCATTGATTGAATAATAACTGCAAATAATATCATCAAAAGTGTTTGAATTCATGGGTTTTATATTAATCTTAAGCCTTATTTCTATATCTTTGAAGGAACTCATTATTTTGAAAATTGATAAATAAAAGTATCAAGCACTTATCTTGCCTTTTCTATACAAACTACATCTCAGTGTTACTGAAGAATTAGTGAGGGAAAGTTTCCCTTTATAGAATATGCCAGCTAATAAATAAACAAGGAGTGATAGAATTAGATTATCAACATTTTGTAACCCCTAAGGAACTCATGGATCTAGGCACTGACCATCAACGTTGCTGACGTAACAAACAAAAAAAAAAAGAAAAAAAAAACCTCAATATTAGACACCTCTTAATGGAAGTCTAAAAGTTTACATACTAAGTATTTCCTGTCCCCCAAAAATTAGACCTGCATCCGACCAAGCATCTATATAATTACCAATTTGCAGGACATAGAGAGGACAGAGAAACATGTTAAACAGCAGCACAGAGATACAGTCAGAAAAATTCAGACTATAGAAAACTCCCTGAATATATTACCTGATCTTCAACAAATAAATTGCAAGATAAAAAAAGATCACAAACACAATGTATAAATCTTATTTGAATCTTGATTCAAGTAACTAAATAATGATGAGACAATTGGGAAACGCTGATCAGCTGAATAGGTGATGATATTAAATGATCATTGCTAATATTAATATTTATGTATGATAATATGATACAGTGATTACATATTTTTAAAGTACTTATATTTTAGAGGTACATACCAAAATACTTACTGATGAAATAGTGATTCTGCCACTTACTTCAGAGCAATGCGTGAGTAGGAAAAAAATGGGTATAGACAAAATATAATTGGCCACAAGTTTGTACTTGACTTTGAGTGATAAGTACATTAAAGTTAAGATACCATTTGATTTTTGAAAATGTTTGAAATTTTTGCATGATAAAAAGTTTTTTAAACAGTAGTGAGTGAAAAAAGAATGAAAACAGGATGAAAGCTACCATACCATTCATGTAAATTTAAAATACAAACACATAAAACAACACAAATAGAAGAACATACATCAAACATATCAGAACGGTTGCTGTTAGTAAGACTGGGGAATGGACATGGAGAATAAGCTAAAAGGGTAAAAAAATAAGTGAAGCAAGAGAGGGACATTGCACTGATCAACAATGAAGTATCACTAATCAACCAACCCTCACAATCTGAGGCCAAAAAAATTTGTCACACAGTTGTGAGGATTAAATGAAATATGTGGGTACTGTTCCTGGCATAGTGCACGGTACATCATAAGACCTTAATAAATGTTTATTTCCCTCCATTCCCTCCACTTTCCACCATCTCCCTACCCTGCAAAGGAATAATGTTATCTCCTAAGTTAATTTACTTTAAGGTACTAAGCCCTGATAACAACTTTACCCTCTGTTTCATTGGCTGAGGCTTACAAGAGAGGGCAATGCTTAAAAAAATGAATCTCTAATAAGTGAAATTCTTGCATTCCAAGCCCTAAGAAGGCCAACCGTGTCCATTGCAAAGGTGATTTTAGGAAGTTTCAGAACTGACCACCTGCCTACAACTCTTCAGGGTGACAGTTTGGACTCATTTCTATCTTCCTTCTTCTCAATCAAATGTATCTACACTAGAAAGTACACCAACTGCTAGCTCATCCCAGGGATCAGAGAACTCCGGGTTGTAGCTTGATCTTAGATGACCATCTAAGTGAAATATTTATGTGCTGAGTTTTGCTCTTCCACTTAACTGGAAAGATTTCCATTTCATGCGCCACCACCCCACATGCCAACCTCTACCATTTCCTCCTCTCTGACTCTTTAGCCATAACTGCCATATTCTTTCCAAACAATATATGAACTTTTCATTCAAAAATCATGTTCCAGGTGACTGGCTCACTGGAAATCATTCAGAGGTTGCCAATGACTCACCCAATAAATCTGAGGCCCAGAAATTGACTTGGAATCAGTGGCGCCTGACAGCTGCTCAGAGGCTGCTGGGGAAAAGAAGCAGGATCTACATTGGTTTATAATAGCTAGATGCTCCTGGCTCATCGTATAAAGTTGGTGGAGTGAAAAGCAATCAATCCCTGGCTGCAGTTTGACCCCAGCAGATCAAAGTTAAATTTAGCTGTAAGCAGAGGGAAGGACATTTCACCATGGGAATAGAACCCAGCCAATCATTGTGCATGTTTTAATCTAGCACATTCTACATGTCCATCACTGTGCTAAAAGACACTGAGAAAGATTCACTCTAAGACCCCTGTGATATAGTTTGAATGTTTGTCCCCTTCCAGTCTCATGTTGAAATGTGATCCCCAATGTTGGAGGTGAAGTCTTACAGGAGGTATTTGCGTCATGGGGGTGGATCACCCATGAATGGCTTGGTGACTTCCCCATGGTAATGAGTTCATGCAAGAGCTGGTTGTCTAAAGAGCCTGGTATCTCTCTTGCTTCCCCTCTCATTATGTAACATCCCTGCTCTCCCTTATTGGTACCAAAAAGTGGGGCATTGCTATAAAGATATCTGAAAATGTGGAAGCAACCTTGGAACTGCTTGGGTAGAAGTTAGATGAGTTTAGAGGTCTCAGAAGAAGATAGGAAAATGAGGGAAGGTTCAGAACTTCTTAGAGACTGGTTAAGTAGTTGTGACCAAAATGCTGATAGAAATATAGACAGTGAAGGCCAGGCTGATGAAGTCTCAGAGGGAAATGAGGAATTTATTGGGAACTGGATTAAAGGTCACCCTTGTTACACCCTAGCAAAGAGCTTGGCTGTATTGTGTCCATGTCCTGGGGATTTGTGGAAAGTTGAACTTAAGAGTGATGACTTAGGGTATCTGGTGGAAATAATTCCTAAGCAGCAAAGCATTCAAGATATAGCATGGCTGCTTCTAAAAGCCAACGACCAAATACAGGAGCAAAGAAATTACTTAAACTTAGAATTTACCATTAAAAGGGAAGCAGAATATAAAAGTTTGAAAAATTCACAACCTGGCCATGTGATAAGAGAAGGAAAGAACACTTTCAGGGGAGAAATCCAAAAGGGATGTGGAGCAACCACTTACCAAAGAGATTAGCATGACTAAAAGGGAACCAGGTGCTAATAGCCAAGAAAATGAGGAAAAGGCCTTGAAGGTATTTCAGAAATCTTTGGGATAGTCCCTCTCATCACAAGCCCAGAGGCCCAGGAGAATGGAATGGTTTGAGGAGCCAGGCTGGAGCCTGCTGCCCTGCTAAACTTTAGGACACTGCTCCACATATTCTAACTGCTCCAGCTCCAACCAGAGTTCTAACGGCATCAGTTAAAACTTGGGCTGCCACTTTAGAGGGTACAAGCCATAAGCCTTGGCAGCTTCTATGGGTGTTAAGCCTGTAGGTGCACAAAATGCAAGAGTGAAGGAGGCTTGGCAGCTTCCCCTAGATTTCAGAAGATGTATGGGAAAGTCTGGATAACCAGGCAGAAGCCTGCCTCAGGGGTGGAGCCCCCACAGGGTGACTTCACTAGGGCAGTCCCAAGAGAAAATATGAGGTTGGAGCTTCCACACAGAGTCCCTACCAGGGCACTGCCTAGTGGAGCTGTGGGAACGGAAGTGCCACCCTCCAGACCCCAGAATGGTAGAGCCACAGGCAGCTTACAACCTCAGATGGCAAATCCACAGGGACAGAGCTGTTCAAGGCCTTGGGAGCCCACCCCTCATACTAGGATGCAAAACATTGAGTCAAGGATTATTTTGGAGCTTTAAGGTTTAATGCCTGCCCTGCTGGATTTCAGACTTGTGTGAATCCTGTTACCCCTTTCTTTTGGCCAATTTCTCCCTTTTGGAAGGGGAATGTTTACCCAATGCCTGTACCACCATTGTGTCTTCAAAGTAAATAACTTGTTTTTGGTCTTACAGGCTCATAGGTGGAAGGAACTTGCCTTGAATCTCTGATGAGAATTTGGACTTTGGACTTGATTGAGTTGATGCAGGAATGAGTTAGGACGTGGAGACTCTTGGGAAGGGATGATTGTATTTTGCAATGTGAGAAGGACACGAGATTTGGGAGCCAGGGGTAGAATGATATGGTTTGGATGTTTATCCCCACCTAATTTCATGTTGAAATGTGATCCCCAGTGTTGGAGGTGGAGCCTGGTAGGAGGTGTTTGAGTCATGGGGGTGGATCCCTCATGAATGGCTTGGTGCCCTCTTTGCAGTAATGAGTTCATACACGAGTTGGTTGTTTAAAGACCCTGGCTTCTCTCTTGCGTCCTCTCTCACTGTGTGACATGCTGCTCCCCCTTCACCCTCCACCATGATTGTAAGCTTCCTGAGGCCCCACCAGAAGCAGAAACTGGAACCGCACTTATTGTGTATTCTGCAGAACCATGAACCAAAGAAACCTCTTTTTCTTTATAAATTACCAAACCTCGGGTATTCCTTTATAGCAACACAAAACAAACTAACACAATCTACTTTCAAAATGTGAATAATCTTATGAAGGATACAGAAAATTATACAGGACAACATAAAACACTACCACTAAGTAATAACATAACTACATGGCATCCATCTCTGTCTGGGATAACTTTTCCCACCTTATGGGTAGGTCTGAATTCTACACACGCCCAAATGCCACTACCTTCACAAATTCCTAGTGACTTATCTTGCCACTTATTTTTTTGTCTGACCCCTCCAAAGTAGCAGCCTGGGGCCTCCAGGACTCACTGAGGCCTCCTGCCCAATGGAACTTGGTGATAGGAGCCAGCCCTGCCCTCAGTCTATCCTTCATGTTAGAGAAGAAGATGAGAAAGGAGTCAAGGTGGCTAAGGGTCTCCATATTGGCGTGGGAGAGTGACATTCTCTCTGTAACTCCTTCCTTCTTCAAAATAACCCAGAGTTATTTTGAGCAGATACCATGTGCACATTATCCAAATGACTTTAGGACCAGTGACAGGAGTGAATAACTGACAAAATCATCCAGGAACACAGGCAAGAAGCTTTTCCTTATGTTGTCAGACTCAGACTACTTTCTGAGTCATTAATCCTCCCTCTGGCAGGTTAGGATTAGATTCTGCTGCGACTGGACTGCTCAGCCACATTTGTATTGTTCAGAACAATGTCAGAATCACGCAGCTCAGAGGTCTAATATCTGTCACAAACCATTCCAGGATTCATTCTTCTCTCCCCTTATTCCAAGCCTTCTGAGCAAGCAAATGAAGGCTTTCAGCCGTAAGTGATTGAGTTACCTAAGCAAACTGACCAGAAAAGGTTGGAAGCAAACAAAATAAAAGCAAAAAATTTGAATTTAGCAAAAGGAATTGTACAGTAGGGAATGGCTTATCAATCTGAGAAAGCCAAGGGCAGATGTTAAGAAAATTAAGCATTTTTCATGCATCAGGGGCTCCATGTTAGCTAAACGCCTTGGAGTACTGGATGGAGCACTGTCTTTAGAGAAAGAGAATCCTGACACAATCCAGGATCAGCTCTCAAGGATGCATGACACAGACCATGAACCTGGCCATCCCCACACTCAGCCATCTTCTCTTTGAACACCATGATGAAGCACAACCCAAGGACAATGATTTTATTTTCTGAAGGCCATTACTTAGGATAACCATTATGCAAACAACCAAAATTGCCTCTCTTAAGTAAAATGGAAATCCATTAGAAAAACACAGGATGGCTGCCAGTATGCAATGTAGGCCTGAACCATCAGCCCAAGAAAAGTCAGGGACCAGACCCTTAGGGGTCTGGGGAGCTGGGGCTGATTGGCAGTTCACTGGGGCCTCACTGCTGATATAAATATGGAACCCAAACATTTCCCCCTCCCACTCAGGACTCAAGGTCCATGAGCCGAGCTCAGCGGCTCATGCCTGTAATCCCAGCACTTTGGGAGGCCAAGGCAGACAGATTGCTTGTGCTCAGGGGTTGGAGACCAGCCTGGCAACATGGTGAAATCCCATCTCTACAAAAAAAAAAAAAAAAAGGACTCAAGGTCCTCAAAGTGAATCTAACTGTCCAGCCTAGGTGGGTAGGACATTTTGATTGAAAGCCCCAAAAGCCAGCACGCATTGGGGAAAAGATATTTCCTTTGGGAAACATTACCACAAAAAGGCGAAAGGAAGCTGGTTGGGCAAACAATACTCACTCACTCACTTTGCCACCTCTTACCAAGTTCCATGCAAGACAGAATAAATAAGGTGCCAGAGCACATTTTCACATAATTTCACATATTAATGTAAAAAAAAGTCCTCCTAAATGGCTGTGTTTCTGAGATAAATTCACTTAACTTCCTTGAGAATCACTTACCTCAACTACAAATGAGAAAGTCGGGCCTGATAAGAATTTTTCAAACTAAAAGGGCCTCAGGCAAAAATAAACTCTCTTGGTATAAATATAGATTATAAACCCAACATAAGTGACCAAAGGGCTTAATTGCAAAGGATTCTGAGGGTCAATGTCAAGGTCTGAGTGGTGGATGAGGACACAAGGATGGTCACAGAAGCAGGCTTAAGGTCATGCTCTGTCCATCAATATCGTTCTTGTGTAAAGACAATGAATCAGAAAAATGCCATCAGCCAGATTCTGGTGAAAATTCAGGAAGCTGGACGATGCTGGCAACATGAAGGCACTTATCTAAAACAAGTAGTAAGAAAGATGGCAGCAAAGACAGACAACTTCAAGACAGAACTGTTTTTTGAAATAAAGAATGCATGGGAGATATACCTAATGCTAGATGACGAGTTAGTGGGTGCAGCGCACCAGCATGGCACATGTATACATATGTAACTAACCTGCACAATGTGCACATGTACCCTAAAACAAAGTATAATAAAAAAAAAAAAAAAAACTTGCACCCAAAGTCCCAGCATCTTATTCTCTTGCCCTAGGGAAAAGTATTGGGTGGCTGTCAACTGTAAGGATTATGCACCATGATCAAGTAGAATTCATCCCTGAAATGCAACTATAATTCAACATATTCAAATCAATAATGTGATACATCACACAAACAGAACGAAGGATTAAAAGCATACAATCAGCTCAATAGCTGTAAAAAAGCATTTGACAAAATTCAATATCCTATCATGGTTAAAAAAAAAAAAAATGCAACAAACTGGGTATGGAAGGACGTACCACAACATAATAAAGGTCATCTATGAAAGCCCACAGCTAACATACTCAAAAGTGAAAAGCTGAAAGCTTTTCTTCTAAAAAAAAAAAAAAAAAAAAAAAAAAAAAAAAAGAAAGAAATAAAGAATGCAGTGCATAATCCTCTCTTCAAACTGATCATGAGATTTGCCCATTTCTAGTCTGAATATTAGGGCTGTCTCCTAAATCACAGTGTGGCTGACTCTGCTGGCAACAGCAAGGGGGTGGAGGTACTTTAGTCACACATTCCCCTAGTCTCCATCAACTACCCACCTTTTTTGGACATGGGGAAACTGAGACTTTCTCAGTCTTACTAAGGCCAGCACGAATACAGCATCAGAACAAAATCCTTCCAAGCTGATTGCTGCCCCAAAACCCCCTACCCTAGAAAAAAAAAAAAATTTTTTTTTTCTTTTTTTGAGACGGAGTCTCACTCTGTCACCCAGGCTGGAGTGCAGTGGTGCCATCTCAACTCACTGCAACCTCCGCCTCCCGGGTTCAAGCAGTTTTCTGCCTCAGCCTCCAGAGTAGCTGGGATTGCAGGCGCCTGCCACCATGCCCGGCTAATTTTTTGTACTTTTAGTAGAGACGGGGTTTCACCATCTTGGCCAGGCTGGCTTTGAACTACTGACCGCATGATCCACCTGCCTCAGCCTCCCAAAGTGCTGGGATTACAGGCATGAGCCACCAAGCCTGGCTGAAAAAATTGTTTAAGTTACCATTGGATGCCCCCCTAAGAAGGTCTAAGCAACTTGGACACTTCTGGCCTCACTGCTCTGCAATTTACAACCCAATGTCCGATGCTACTGAAATCCAGACACACAACACTGAAATGCATCCAGTGGTTACTGTAGAGTTTAGTTGACCAGATGCTCAATCTAATTCTCCCATGTGCCAGTGGCCACTGGTCAGCAGCCCATACCAGCAAGGCTCGGCTCTCAGGACCTCTGATTTTATAGCATTGATGGAACAGACTCATGCAAGCCTTTGTCTTTTAGGACATGCTCCCTCTCATCATGCAGCTGGCCAGAGAGAGGCTGAGGGTGGGAGAGGGAGTCCTTTACTGAACGTTTGACCTAAATGGTATAATAATAGTTATCTTTTATCTCCGCTTCACAGTTTATCAATAAAGCATGGTGCAACTTTGTCACCACTGGGAAAACATGGAAGCAGAGAAAGGAAAATCTCCATGGAGATATTTCTGTCCTTGGCACATCCCCTGAAAGGCAAACACCAGCTGTCAAACTGGGCTGTCTTCAAGAGACTCCAGCCCCTCAGTGCCCATCCATGGTAACTCTAAGATTTAAGAAGGAGGGAGAGGGTGTGGTTGTGGGGTTAGTGGTTAATGCGCCTTTGGACCAGTGGAGCACGTGGGCTGGTGTTTCTCCTCCTCTCTGGAGTGGCCCATTACAAAGCAATCCTTGCTGTTTGTTTGCCATTGCTTTGGACTCAAAAGCTGCATCCCCACAATCCCCTCAGCCCTCTCCCAGTCCAGCCATGACCGCAGCCTTCTCCTGATCAGCCTTCACCACCAGAGGGCTCAATGTAGCAACAGGAAGGGAAGCCAGCCACAGGGTCCACAGGGGGAGGAAAACACAATCAAGAAAGGAAGAGGTTGTGTCATGGGCCATGTGTGCCTATGTGACCAACAACACCTCTACTGTCCTTTTGGTAAAAGCCTTCGGCTGCTGTGGGATCTGCAGAGGATAGATAGATAGATGATAGATAGATAGATATACATATACATATATGTATGGGTTTTTTTGTTATTTTGTTTGTTTTTTTTTTTTTTTGAGGCGCAGTTTCACTCTTGCTGCCCAGGCTGGAGTGCAATGGCACGATCTCACTCACCACAACCTCCGCCTCCTGGGTTCAAGTAATTCTCCTGCCTCAGCCTCCCTAGTAGCTGGAATTGCAGGCATGCACCACCATGACCGGCTAATTTTTTGTTTTTAGTAGAGACGGGGTTTCTCCATGTTGGTCAGGCTGGTCTCAAACTCCCAACATCAGGTGATCTGCCCACCTCAGCCTCCCAAAGTGCTGGGATTACAGGTGTGAGCTACCGTGCCCAGCCACATATATGTATGTTTTATATATAATTTATGTTAATATTTTATATACATATTTACATTGCATATATACATTTGTTTATATCTATACATTATACTTTATATGTTTATTATTTGCATATTTTTACTTGTATTTTTCTGTATGTTTTTATGTGTATAGAAATATATAGTTTTTTTTTTTTTAAATGAATCCAGGCTTAATAAGTCATATCACATGAGAAGGAATCAAGTTTCCTGGGAACCACAGGGTTTGGACTACGGGAGGTCAGTGCTGGAGGGAGAAAAGTTTCCAAGAGAACCAAAGGCAAAAGTTGAGGCCACTAGGAAATGCTCCTTCTCTTTCTCTCTCTCCGTCTCACCTGCCTGTGCCTGTCTGCCCACCCCTAGCCTGACATCTTCATAGGTCCCGAGTCATTTTACATCTCTTCCTCTACTGTTACTTATCTTTTACTTCTTCATGTAATCAACCTTCATTTCACCAGTTATCGACTTCATTATCACTGGTTTTTTAGATTATCAGTTGAAAAAGTTTTATGTAAAATGATTTGTAAATCATATTTTCCGTTGTCATTTCAGAGATATGGTCCAACAGGGGAAAAAAATTGACATATGTAGTAAAAATCACAGACAAAACCTACATCTTTAAGAGAATATTCTCTCTTCGACTGAGTATGATTTATGTGTATGTGATTATCCCACTGGACATCTTCAAGAAAAGTTAGCCAAATAGGCAATCAATTAGAAAGGGCACTCCATGTTAAAAGTATATTTATTATTTATAAACCATCTTTCTTGATCGATTGCCTTCCATTTATTGGTTTTTCTCAATGATGCAATGTAAACTGATGACTTAAGCATTCATACTCATAACCATGTGTCCAGATATTCAATGGAAACTGCCTGTAAGCCAGCTAGGCTTCAGCTACTGGGAACAGATCCTCTCTACCCTCCCCTCCTCCATGGTATGGGTCATTGGTCCTGCCTTGCCCTACATAACTCCACTCCTTAATGACTCCCCAGGTTATGAAGCAGCCTTTTTCAGGACTGACGCTGTCCCGCTTCTCAGCCCTAGGAGAAGCTCCTAGAACTATATCTGCTCTTGCCCTCTTCCAGCACCAAGCTTCTGCCCAGCACAGGCTTGTCCACATTTTCCTTGACCCCTGGCAGCAGCTATCTGATCTGTGTGTTTATTTGTCAAATGCTCAGAGCAAAGGATAAAAATATTACTCTTTCTTTAAAATCACATGCTACCATTATGCTAATAGCTGCTTATGATCTTTTTGGTTCTAGCTTTTCTAGGCAGAGATATCCAGTGGGTTTTGAGGGAAAAGGGGTTCTTTTTTTTCAAGCCCAATATTGTAAGCACTTTGGCGATCCTATCACATCTTTGAGGCACATTTCTGCCTTGGATTAGCAGGTATGGAAGAACACCACTTTCCAACAATCTGTCACCGAAATCGAGTCTTCCTAAAACTCAGGTGGAAGCAACTGATAAGGCTCACAGCATCCAAAATTCAAGCCTAAAGGTATTTGAATCCGTTCCAGACCAAGAAACAGCCAAAGCCTGGGAAACAAAACTAGCAGCACAACCACATGAAAAGTTTTACTAAGTGATACTTATCTTTATGTGCAATGTGCTTTGATATTATCCAGTCTGTTCTATTTTATTTGTAAAAACCGGTTGCACTCATTAAATTGATTTCACTATTGGGCTGCATCCCATAGTTTTGAAAGCACTGCTTTTACCCATCCTAGCTGAAGAATTAAAGCTAGTTAATGTCCTCAATAACAGGTTGAGAGTCAAGTAGGAAAAACACTGGAGACCTGGGGCCAAATCCCTGCTCTTCTACTGCCTTGCTAAGCAAGGGAGGATGCATCGCTGTGCCTCACTTTCCGACTTAAATTGAAGTTGCCTGCTCTAACTCACAGGTCTATTAGAAGGATCTAATGAGATGAAAGACAGGTCTATCAGAGAGATCTAATGAGGTGAAAGATGGAGAGCACTTTGAAAATTTTCAAGCATCATTCAACTGTAAAGGGGTGGGGTCAGTCATCGAGAAGAAAGAAGGGCAGAATAATCTGTATTTACACGCTGCTTCTCTACAACTCAGCTGGGTTGCTTCTAGATGAGGCAGAGCCAAGGTGGGAGCTGAAAACAGCTGGGGTCATCACTCTGACTAGTCCTAGTGATTGAAACCAACAAGAGGAAGAAAACAAAGGGATACTGACAAAGAGAAGGAATGTGTAGCACATCCTGAAATAAGCATCATCTTATTGGCCAGCAATTTACCACTGAGCCACCAGCAACGAGGAACCAATGGCTCAATGTCCTACACTCTAAGATATACCACAGACTCACTCAATACTATTACATATAAAAATATATATCATAGGCCCATGCAGTGGCTCACGCCTGTAATCCCAGCACTTTGGGAGGCTGAGGTGGGTGGATCATGAGGTCAGGAGATTGAGACCATCCTGGCTAACACGGTGAAACCCCATCTCTACTAAAAATACAAAATAATTAGCCGGGCATGGTGGTGGGCAACTGTAGTCCCAGCTACTTGGGAGGCTGAGGCAGGAGAATGGCGTGAACCCGGGAGGTGGAGCTTGCAGTGAGCTGAGATAGTGCCACTGCACTCCAGCCTGGGTGACAGAGCGAGACTCTGTGTCCAAAAAAAAAAAAAAAAAAAAAAAAAAAAAGCAAAGGTAAGGCTTGTTATGTAAATTTAAGACAATGATAAGAGTGTCTGGTGTACAGACACCCTTACAAATGGAGATTTCCTTTATAGATCTAAATTTCTCTTATAAAAGGGTTTCAGGATAGCCAGCTAAATGTCAGAAAGGTATATTAATATCTTGGAGATCTATTTAGTTCAATACGCTGTCTTTTTTTTTTTTTTTTTTTTTTTTTGAGACAGAGTCTTGCTCTGTCACCAGGCTGGAGTGCAGTGTCACAATCTCGGCTCACTACAACCTCCACCTCCAGGGATCAAGCAATTCCCTTGCCTCAGCCTCCCAAGTAGCTGAGACTACAGGCACGTACCACCACGCCCAGCTAATTTTTTGCCTTTTAGTAAAAAGGGGGTTTCACCATGTTGGCCAGGATGGTCTCAATCTCCTGGCCTCGTGATCTGCCTGCCTTGGCCTCCCAAAGTGTTGGGATTACAGGATGAGCCACCACACCCAGCCAATAGGCTGTCTTTTCAACTTAACCATTATTTCTTAACTCAATTTACTGAGCTCAGAGTAGAACTCATTAAGAATAAGGCAAAGAAAATATTCTCTGTGCCTGGTTTCAGCATGTACAGATCTGAAAAAGAAGCAAGCCTACTTTCTCTGAGGGCCTACCTTTCATAAACCCTTTATCCTGGAGACCTTTCTTTTCACACTTGAAAAGAAAGGGGTGGGATAGTAACTAAGCCAAAAGGTTAACAGATTCAATTTTTCTCATCTATTAGGCACTTAAGCTTTTTATTTGCCTTGTCTTTTTAAGGGTCTGACATGGTGGCTCACACCTGTAATTTCAGCACTTTGGGAGGCTGAGGCAGGAAAATCACTTGAGTCCAGGAGTTCAAGACCAGCCTGGGTAACAAAGCGACATCCCCATCTCTACAAAAAAATAACCTTTTAAATAAATTTTTTAAAAGGTTATTTTAAAAGAGGGAGTAAAAACATTGAAATCTTTATAGAAGTTTCTGCACAACCATAGGCATCCCTGGATGAGACTAATTCAGGAGCCCTCATTTTTAAATGCACTTCTCAAAGTGCAGTATTGTTCATTTGGAACATTTCACTGTAATTCTATTTACCTTTAGTAAGATTTTGCCATTTCTGTAAGTATTTGTTGCTTCCAAGGCCTAATACTTCTATATGTATGGGTAGGCATAGCCAGAAAGTAGAATACTCAATTCTTCAGAAAGTAAGGATCCCATTTTTACCTTGAATCTTGGCTTTGGCTCTCAGATTCCCTTGATTAACTTAGCCTGTACTTTTTTCCCTAACTAAGTGCACAAGAAAAAGAAACAAAGGGAATAGAACACAAAAATCCCGCGAATCTCCAAAAGCCAAAGTTCACACCCCCTGTAGTATTACCATTTACTGCCAATTTCTGGCTGGCTCAGTCAGACATCTGAGGTCTCTAACTGGATCCAAGCCAGTTAATTATTTCATTGAATTTGATCCTGGACCTAGTCCAGCTTGTTATGACATCCAAATCCTGCTCAGACTTAAAATTTTGCTCAAATTTAGATAGCTCTAAACATAAATCTGTGGAGCTTCAGACTCCAAGAGAGAACTTACCCATGAGCCCCAGGTGCTGCAAGAGAGCAATGGACACAATGAGTCCAGCTGGTGTCACACTTGGTCACTCAGTGCTTCTGGGGGTTACGAGAAGCTCTACTTTGGATCCCACTTCTGCCACCACCTGTTAAAAGAAAACCCATTTTCAGCTTTTCTGCTCTGGTTTCTCCCCATCTTTGTGGTTTTATCTACCTTTGGTCTGTGATGATGGGGTTTTGGTGTGGATGTCGTTTCTGTTTGTTAGTTTTCCTTCTAACAGTCAGGACCCTCAGTTGCAGGTCTGTTGGAGTTTGCTGGAGGTCCACTCCAGACCTCGTTTGCCTGGGTATCACCAGCAGAGGCTGCAGAACAGCAAATATTGCAGAATGGCAAATGTTGCTGTCTGATCGTTCCTCTGGAAGCTTCGTCTCAGAGGGGCACCTGGCCGTATGAGGTGTCAGTTGGCCCCTATTGGGAGGTGCCTCCCAGTTAGGCTACTCAGGGGTCAGGGACCCACTTGAGGAGGCGGTCTGTCCGTTCTTAGATCTCAAACTCCTTGCTGGGAGAACCACTACTCTCTTCAAAGCTGTCAGACAGGGATGTTTAAGTCTGCAGGAGTTTCTGCTGCCTTTTGTTCAGCTATGCCCTGCCCCTAGAGGTGGAGTCTACAGAGGCAGGCACCAATAACAGACAAACAGAGAGCCAAATCATGAGTGAATTCCCATTCACAATTGCTTCAAAGAGAATAAAATACCTAGGAATCCAACTTACAAGGGATGTGAAGGACCTCTTCAAGGAGAACTGCAAACCACTGCTCAATGAAATAAAAGAGGACACAAACAAATGGAAGAACATTCTATGCTCATGGATAGGAAGAATCAATATCATGAAAAAGGCCATACAGCCCAAGGTCATTTATAGATTCAATGCCATCCCCATCAAGCTACCAATGACTTTTCTTCACAAAATTGGAAAAAACTACTTTAAAGTTCAGAGGGAACCAAAAAAGAGCCTGCCTCGCCAAGACAATCTTAAGCCAAAAGAACAAAGCTTGAGGCATCATGCTACGTGACTTCAAACTATACTACAAAGCTACAGTAACCAAAACAGCATGGTACTGGTAACCAAAACAGAGATATAGACCAATGGAACAGAACAGAGCCCTCAGAAATAATACCACACATCTACAACCATCTGATCTTTGACAAACCTGACAAAAACAAGAAATGGGGAAAGGATTCCCTATTTAATAAATGGTGCTTGGAAAACTGGCTAGCCATATGTAGAAAGCTGAAACTGGATCCCTTCCTTACACCTTATACAAAAATTAATTGAAGATGCATTAAAGACTTAAATGTTAGACCTAAAACCATAAAAACCCTAGAAGAAAACCTAGGCAATACCATTCAGGACGTAGGCATGGGCAAGGACTTCATGTCTAAAACACCAAAAGCAATGGCAACAAAAGACAAAATTGACCAATGGGATCTAATTAAACTAAAGAGCTTCTGCACAGCAAAAGAAACTACCATCAGAGTGAACACGCAACCTACAGAATGGGAGAAAATTTTTGCAATCCACCCATCTGACAAAGGGCTAATATCCAGGATCTACAAAGAACTTAAACAAATTTACAAGAAAAAATCAAACAACCCCGTCAAAAAGTGGGCAAAGGATATGAACAGACACTCCTCAAAAGAAGACATTTATGCAGCCAATAGACACACGAAAAAATACTCATCATCACTGGACATCAGAGAAATGCAAATCAAAACCACCATGAGATACCATCTCACACCAGTTGGAATGGCAATCATTAAAAAGTCAGGAAACAACAGGGACTGGAGAGGATGTGGAGAAAGAGGAACACTTTTATACTGTTGGTGGGACTGTAAACTAGTCCAACCATTGTGGAAGACAGTGTGGCAATTCCTCAAGGATCTAGAACTAGAAATACCATTTGACCCAGCCATCCCATTATAGGGTATATACCCAAAGGATTATAAATCATGCTGCTGTAAAGACACATGCACACGTATGTTTTTTGTGGCACTATTCACAATAGCAAAGACTTGGAATCAACCCAAATGTCCATCAATGATAGACTGGATTAAGAAAATATGGCACATATATACCACGGAATACTATGCAGCCATAAAAAAGGATGACTTCATGTCCTTTGTAGGGACATGGATGAAGCTGGAAACCATCATTCTGAGCAAACTATCACAAGGACAGAAAACTGAACACCACATGTTCTCACTCATAGGTGGGAATCGAACAATGAGAACACATGGACACAGGATGGGGAACATCACACACCGGGGCCTGTTGTGGGGTGCGGGGAAGGGGGAGGGATAGCATTAGGAAATATACCTAATATAAATGACGAGTTACTGGGTGCAGCATACCAACATGGCACATGTATACATATGTAACAAACCTGCACGTTGTGCACATGTACCCTAGAACTTAAAGTATAATAATAAAAAATAAAATAATAAAAAAAAGAAAACCCATAGACAAATTAAATTTAACAGGGTTTCACTGAGGAAAGAATGATTCACAAACTCGGCAGCCCTAGAATCAGAATAGGTTCAGGGAGACCCTGGTGTTGTCACATGGTAAAAGATTTATGGACCAAAAAAAAAAAAAAAAGAAAAAAGAAAGAAAGTGATGTACAGAAAATAAAAGTGAGGTACATAAGCAGCTGGATTAATTATAGTCTGGCATTTGCCTTATTTGAACCAAGTATGAAAAGTAGGCTGTCTTTGATTGGCCAAAACTCAGTGACTGGTACAAGAGTAGGCTACAGCCTTTTTACACATCCACTTTAGTTACAGTTTACTACGTATGGTGAAACCTTTAGGCCCAACTAAAATATTTAAGGGGGCAGCTTTAAGCTAAGCTTAATTTAACGTAACAAAAGTGCCTTCCCAAGCCCCCCTGACCAGCCAACTGATTTTCAAGCCTCCTGGGAGCCAACCATCCTCTAAAGTAGGAAGGCTTTGTTCCTCAGTGGGTATTCTCTAGAAACGTAAGAACCCAGTCAGGGAATGAGCCACCTTCGTGTTTAAGGGAAGGAAGAATTGAAAGCCAGGCATGGTG
This sequence comes from Homo sapiens, assembly GCF_000001405.40. NCBI lineage: Eukaryota > Metazoa > Chordata > Mammalia > Primates > Hominidae > Homo > Homo sapiens. The sequence continues at coordinate 92,702,127 of NC_000015.10, forward strand.
GCTCATACCTGTAATCCCAGTGCTTTGGAACTTGAGGCCAGGAGTTCAAGGCCAGCCCAGGCAACATAGTGAGACCCCATCTCTACAAAGCATTTAAGAATTAACTGAGCATGGTGGCATGCACCTGTAGTCCTAGCTACTCGGGAGGCTGAAGCAAGAGGATCCTTTAAGCCCAGAGTTCAAAGTTATAGTGAGCTATGATTGTGCCACTGCATTCCAGCCTAGACAACAGAGCAAGACCCTATCTCTAAAATAAAAAATAAAAGAGGTAGAGGGAACAAGCAAAGAAGTATTTCTACTATTATCTAAGAGTCTTCCCAAATTCTGAAAGAAGTTTTGCCTGAATCATAAAGATGAATAATGATAATGGAAAAAGTATCAAAGTCATGGGAAACAGAAATATGTCACATGGACAGAGAACCAAGTACTGTTTTAAGGGCTGTATATGTACAAACTATTTTGACCCTCACAAAACCCCTATATGGTAGGTACTTTCACCATTCTCAATTGCTAATGAGAAATTGGAGCACAGAGAAGTTAAGTGACCTGCCCCTGGTCAAACAGCTAAGAAGTGGCAGAGCTGAGATTTGAACCTAGACTGTCCGGCTGGAGTGGGGCCTCTGAGCTTCTAGGCACCGCTGCCTCATGCAGTTTGATCCTATCAATAATAACAGCAAAGACATAAAGAGCATGTTCCCATTAACAAAGTGCTCTCATTCACTTACTCAAAACAACATTTTTGGTGTAGCACCCCCACCAGGCGCAGGCCCAGAGATAGAGTGGTGAGCAAGTAATACACAGGTCCTGCCCTCATGGTGCTTTCTCTTGAGCAGTGGAGACAGATCAATCAGCTGCTCTTAAAAGTAAGTGTATAAGGGCAGTGGTAAGTGCTCTAAAGGAATAGGCATCACAGCCACTGCTCTCTGAAACAAATATTATTTTCATCATTTCACAGATGAGGACATTGGGATTTCAGAGTGAAGTGCAACATAACAAAAAATTCACAGAACTTAAGATTTTTTAGTTGTATTTCTTTTTGAGATATACAGATTTAATATATCTACATGATTTGGCATTCAAAAGATATTAGAAGGCAGTCAGAAAATGTCTCCTTTCCTCCCCTGGCCCCAGGATCCCAGTCCCCTCCCAAAGACAATCAGCATTGCCAGTTTCTTGGGTGTCTTATCAGAGACAGGCAGCAACAATCACACACACACACACATTTTCTTTCTTTGCACAACTTCAGCACGCTGCACCCTTGGTTTTTTTTTTTTTCTTCTAACAAATTAATCCACAGTGAGCCTCCCCATCTTCTTCATGGCTGCGTGGCATTTCGTTACATGGGTGGCCCACACTGTTTTTAGCCAGTTTCCCACCAGTGGTCATTTAGGTTATTTTCAGTCTTTTAACTAGCAAAACAAAGCTGCAGAGAGCCACTAGATATATAAACCATTTCATACTCATGCAAGCGTATCAGCATGACGAACTCTCGGAAGTGGAATTGCTGGGTGTATGGCCATAAGCATTTGTCATTTTGATTGATATTAACCACATTGTCCACCATTAAGATGTCACCAGTTTATGTTCACCCAGCGGTAGATGCCCGTTTCACCAAACTCCAACACAGTGAAAACACACTGCTGGGAAAATCCAGTGACCCAGGAGCTCACTCCATCACTCTCCCGCTGTGGGTCTTTGGGCAGCCCTCTCAACCTCTCTGATCCCCAGGCATGTCCTCAGAAAAGTGGGCTTCATAGTGACCCCTGTTCTGTGTTCCCGTGGTGTCTAACACACAGCACTTTGGTGACTAGGTGAAAGAAACTGGAGCTCCACAGGAGAGCAGCTCATGAGAGATGTCCCCAAGGCCAGGGCCACGAAGGCCAACTGCAGTGAACCAGGGGCCAGACAGGACACCTCAAAGCAAGCAGCAGCAAAATGGTTTAGGCTCTGGAGTAGACGGGCCACCCAACAAGCTGTGTGGCCTTAGGCAAGCTGCTTACTCTCTTCTTTCCTCCTCTGAAAAATCCCTGAAACTAGAGGCAGGCCAGCAAATGCACGTGAAGCACCAAGCACACAGCAGAGGCTCCAATTCCAGTTACGGCTGCTGTGGGCACCCCATGTCCCCAGCACTTCCCATTCATGCACACCAGCAACTCTACTGAACACGAGGAGCCTGCCTCTGCCTTGCAGGCAGGAAGATGCTGGGAGCAGCCCTCAACCAATGAAGGATGGCAGCTGGTGACAAAGAATCCAGCTTCTTTGCATCTGGGGGAAAGAACTCCGCAGTGTGTTTGATGCGATCTCCTTGAGGTCCTCCGTGGTACCACATCCCAGGTGCCCACAGCGACAACTAGCTCTTCAACCTGCCCTGTTGGCTTCCTTCCTTTCCCTATTCTCGCCTTCCCCCTCCTGCCCCATCGATGCTCCCCGAGACTGCCTCCCAAATCATCTATTAGCACTCAAACCCTAACTCAAGGTCAGCTTCTGAGGGAGCCCAGCCTAAGACAGTTGTTATTACTACACTTAATATAATAGATATGTCCCTATGTGTAATTGCCATAGGTATCATTATATGTAAAATATATATGTTGTTATTGGTTAGGAAAAAGACCCCAAAAACAGAGGGAAGGACAAACAAGGAGGGAGCAGTGGTGACACAGAGCCCCTTCGATGAGGCAAGACACCAGGGAAAGGCAGCCACCACCTCAGCCAGGTCTGTGGCTCTCACATTCTAGAACAGCATCTCTTAACACGTGTGTCATAGATGTTCAGTGGGGCCCGAGGTGAACTGCGAGACACCACTCTCCTCTAAGCCTCCTGCCCTGGAGGGGCAGGACCAGTGTGTCTTCTTTTCTTTCAACTGTATTTTTTCAATTGTAGTTGAAAAAAAAAACCCAAAACATAAAATTTACCATCTTAACTATTCTTAAGGGTACGCCTCAGTAGTATTAAATACATTTGCAGTGTTGTGCTACCATCACCACCATCCATCTCCAGAACTCTTTTTATCTTTTGGTTTGTTTTGAGATGGTGTCTCACTCTGTGGCCCAGGCTAGAGTACAGTGGCGTGATCTCTGCTCATTGCAACCTCCACCTCCTGGATTCAAGCGATTCCCCTGCCTCAGTCTCCTGAATAGCTGCAATTACAGGTTTGTACCATCATGCCTGGCTAATTTTTGTATTTTTAGTAGAGACAGGGTTTCATCATGTTGGCCAGGCTGGTCTCAAACCTCTGACCTCAAGTGATCTACCTGCCTTGGCCTCCCAAAGTGCTGGGATCACAGGTGTGAGCCACCATACCCAGCCCTTTTTATCTTGTAAAACTGAACTCTATACCTATTAAACAATAACTCCCCATTTTTCTCTCCCACCAGCCCTGGGCAACCACTGTTTGACTTTGTCTGTATGAATTTTACTACCTTCAGATCCCAATGTAAGTGGAATCATACAGTATTTGTCCTTTGCAACTGGGGTGGGACAATTCTCTAGCATATTCCGCCATCCCTGCAGAACTCAACCTCCAGCTGCCCACGGTGGGAGCAAGCTCAGTAACACCCCTTTACTGGCTGCCTGCCCTCCCGTCTCATTTCCTCAAATCCCTACAGGATTTGCTTCTGGGGGAACTCAAACTTAGGCAATTGAGCACCTGCCAAGGTGCCACAATTGAACACATACTAGAGGCTTTATATATGTTGCACAGCATCTATCAAGAAACAAAAATAAAAGACATTGCTCATGCATGAAGAGAAAGGTCAGCCCTTTGTTTCAAGACAAATGTCCACAATCACAAAGGGAAGAATGTTCCAACTCTGAGGCCAAGCCAGGTGAACAGAATGTGACTGAGCAGATCCTTTTCAGGTTACACATTCTCTGACAGAAGGAACAAAAAGACCAACTTTCCAATGGAGGGAGAACCAGGTTTCCAAAGGATAGCAAATGCATTGTTTATTGTCTGGGGTTGGTCCCATTGTTGAGCACACATTCCTTGGAGAAAACGTTTTGCCAAGATGATTGAGGTTTAGTCTGCCCAGCTTTTGAAAATCTGCCCTTTCCTTGCTCCAGGGTTGGCCTGAATTCACCATCACAGGTAAGGAAGCAAAAAGCAGAGGCCTCTTCACCCGTTCCAGGAAAGGCACAGTGAACTCCAGTTAAGTTTGCGAGCTGGATCATTAGCGTCTCATTAATGACTTCAATCTCTCACAAACACAGGGAAGACACAGAAAACCACTGTCTGAGCCACGAGCTGTAATTGCTGCTGTCCTTCTAAGCAGGGGAAAAGCAGACCACGCTTTGTGGCTTCTTAAAAGCCCTGTTCGTTAATGAGGTTTCCTAATTTAGGGCAGAAGAAAACTTCTGGGTTATTATTAGGCTACAAATGGAGGCATGTGTTTCATTTAATCGCCCTACTTAACAAAAGAAACTTTGCTTTTGTAAATTAAAGAATTATTTTTAAGTGTTAGAGGCCTCTGGATAACCTTGAATAAAGCCTCAAACATGATCAGGCCTTGGTGGCCAATCTAGAAATCTAACAGACCAGGGCAAATGATCCCAAAGGTTTTGTCCAGCTTTAACAATCTGTGGTTTGCAAGGACAAGTGGTTTCAAAGGCTTTGCCCAGCTCTAATAACCTATGGTTTTGTTGATACCACCTCCTCCCTGCCTCCGACAGAGGTCCCTTGCAGATACTGAGCCTTCAAAATCCACGTCTTAATTGTATCTATTCTATTAATAACTCTTGGGGTCTTTAGATGCTGTTGGCAACCACAGCACCTCTTATCTGCTTGGGATCCCGTGCAAGTTGCGCACAGAGGATCCCATCTGTGGGCTCAGAAGCACAAAGGGAACAGCAAAATCTTCTATCTGCCATCTATGGGGAAAAAAAAAGGTAATTACCTCTGTCAGTTGCATATGTTGAGTCACCCTGAGACAATGGAGGTCTTCTTCAGGCTGAATTTAACATCACAAATCATCACCTTAAATGCATGGGTACTGGAGAGGCGTAGCCAGGTATTATGAAGGCTTTAAAACCCATACTCATAAAATATAACAGAAAAATTCGTCTTTCAGGTTTACAACCAACAAAATCTGTGATATCTCTTTTGTGAATGCTTTTAATGTTCTCTGCAGAGCAGCGAGCAGTAGACCCTGGTGCAAATGTGGGGTTGAGCAGCTCCCTGACTGATAAGCCAGACTTCAGGCTCATTCTGGAGTCTTCCAAGACCCCTGGGTTACAAGCAAAGTCAGGTTGATTGCATTTGGTTTGAAGTCAATTCTGCAACCCAGGTGTTTGGGGCTTTCCTTTTGTACGGTTTGCTCTAGAAGGGCGGTAACCCTGTAATGACCAGCTACCTTCATGGGTTCTTTGTTTGAGGTCATCACGGAGACAACACAGAGTGTCCTTTGAGGCTCTTTTTGTGGTGTTCGCTCTTTCTGTTTTTGTTTTTAAGAGACAGGGTCTCTCTCTGTCACCCAGGCTGGAGTACAGTGCTATAATCATAGCTCATTTCAGCCTCAAACTCCTAGGCTCAAGAGCTCCTCCTGCCTCAGCCTCTTTAGTACCTAGAAATACAAGTGTGTACCACCGTACCCTGCTAAATTTTTGTGTGTGTGTGTGAAGACAGGGGTCTCACTGTGTTGCCCAGGCTGGTCTTGAACTACTGGGCTCAAGTGATCCTCCCTCTTCAGCCTCCCAAAGTGCTGGGATTACAGGCATGATCCACAATGGCCAGCCTGTGGCATTCACTTTTCTCATCACTAGCTTTTGACCCCCAAATCACCCCCATTCTCAACCCTAACCCAAATTGCCTCGAAGAGCCTGGATCAACCCCTGGGGGAGTCAAAAGAGGCTGCCTCGTGTCCAGCTGGAGCCAGGCGCTGTGAGGCAGACAGATAGCAGAGGGTCCTCACTCTCAAGGGCTTTGGGCTGACACCCATGCCCTGCCTCCCCTCTGCTTTCCCAGTTCCTGCCAGTCATGGCCTCCCAAACCTGCTGACTTCCTGTGTTCTCTGACTCAGTGAATGGCACCAACATCCCCTAATCTCCAAGTTACCAAGTCAGAAACCTGCAAGTCATCTTTGATTTCAATCAAACCACCTCTTGGTCCTCCTCTTCAATCTGTTCACTCAGAGGTGCCGCAGGATGTAACGGGATGTGCACTATGCAGTTGTAAGGGCGATACCCTCTGGAGCTGGCAGCGGAAAAGGGCACGTTCCACTCCTTCCTATTTCCGTCATCTTAGCTCTAACCTCCATCTGCACCCTGGAAGAGAGTCAGCCCGGTCTGGAGGAGGGCAGTCCTGGCGCCTGCCTGAGTTTTGCCCCACCCACCCAGTCTCCACAGAGTCATCTCTTGAAAAGTCATCTCTTACCACGTCACTCCCTGCTTCAAACCCTCCCTCCAGTGGATCCTATTGTCTTCAGGATAAGATCCTAACTCCCTGGCAAGGCTTACAAGACACAAGAGGCTCAGCATGACTTGGCCCCTGCTTCCCTCTTCAACTTCAACTTAGGACTACACAACCACTATGGGAGACCTTATATTCCAGCCATGTGAGCATCAGGAGATTCTCAGACTCTCCCACATCATTACTCACCTTAGGGCCTTTGCATTAATTGTTTCCTCTGCCTAGGCCTCGACCACCCAGCTCCCACTCACCTCTGCCCTTACTTCATGGTTCACCTAGCTAAACTCCTATGCACCCCTCAGGACCCAGCTCAAACATCACCTCCTCCAGGCTGTACTCCCTGACCAGAATTGCCTGCATCCTCTCTCTCCCCAACTTGAGTCTAGTCTGGCTTCTTCACCAAAGGGCCTGTAAGAACAAAAAGCAGATCGAATTCATAAGCTCAATAAATAGTTACTGCATGCCAGACGGGGGTCTCCCAGGCCCCCCGACTCCTCAAGCCCTCTGAATGGTTGAAGAACCTCCTGTTGCAACTCTTCCCCTAGAAAAGAATTTCTTTGCAGCATGCCCACTTCAGGAAGCTCCCAGTGCTGCGTGAAATCTCACCAGCTCAGCACTGGCCTCTGCCCTTCCTCCTGGCCAGCCGCCCCCTTCGCCTCTCTGCTCTCAGCCCCATCAGCCTGGGCCCCCCTCGAGCTCAAGCCTCTCCAAGACTGTTTCTGTTGCTCTCTAATTGCTCAGTGGAGATACCATCTCTTCCTTTACCAATTGTTCCTGCACAGTAAAGAGAAACCACCTGGCAAAGATCCAAAAACCAATCATCCTACAAAGTTATCACTGGCTCCTTGAAAGAAAATCGGACCTATGTCCTGCCCCAGGCTCTCTCTCCTCCCAAGCTTTCTGACTCCTCAGTGAACCTGTTGCACTCTATTTCAAAAATATTTCCTGCTCCGTTCAAATTGCAAAGGGTGAACACATTTAATGAAGTCCGAGACGACCCATTTCCCCCAAGCATCCTACCATGTGTCTAGTAATGACAACACTTGGCCTCTTTATCAAACCCACCAGCTCCTATGCCTGCAGCCGGCAGCCTCTGCTTGCCCCAGGGGGGAGTCCTTCTCAGCAGAAGCTGCCCTGAGCAGATCAAATCTTCGGATATCATTCAGGTGTCCTGCTCAGTCTGTTCCTAACCAAGCCTGGGGCAGGAACCCTGGCACAGGTGGTGGTGTTCAGAGGAAAGAATGTGGGCCAGGAGCCTTGAATGGTCCCAAGGGCCTAGGATGATGCTAGGTGACACTGATCTGTTCCAACTAAGACTCTTACTCTTGGGAATCAGCTTAGTAGCTTCCAGTGACAGTCCCAGACTCTGGCACTGAGAGGAACTCAAGAAACCACTGAGTGCAGGGCTCACGGTGAGCACCTCTTTGCTAAACATGCCTCATATGAGGACAGGATGTCAGTAATGTTGTGGTGGGGAAGAAAGATGTTGGCAAAGGGAGGTAGAAGGCCCTCTGCAGCCAGATGGACCTAAGCACCTCCCTGGTTCACTAATTTCTGCATTGAGCTTCTGTATACACCGATACCATTTTTGACTATTACTGTATGCCGGGAACTGTGCTGAGAGCTAGCTATACATACCTTAGTTCATGTCTTCCTCTAACCCACCCAGGTGGAAGGAATATACTATGAACCCCAACCGACAGGTAAAGACATTGAGATTTAGGGCAGCTGTAACTCACTAGTATCATCGAGAGTCCACCAGGGCACTGGTGTGTCCGGAATTGGTGGGTTCTTGGTCTCACTGCAAGAATGAAGCCGCGGACCTTCGCGGTGAGCGTTACAGTTCCTAAAGGCGGCGTGTCCGGAGTTTGTTCCTTCTGTTGTTCGGATGTGTTCAGAGTTTTATTCCTTCTGGCGGCTTCGTGGTCTCACTGGCTTCAGGAGTGAAGCTGCAGACTTCGCGGTGAGTGTTACAGCTCTTAAGGCACCGCAGCTGGAGTTGTTCGTTCCTCCAGGTGGGTTCATGGTCTCGCTGGCTTCAGGAGTGAAGCTACACACCTTCGTGGTGAGTGTTACAGCTCATAAAGGCAATGTGGACCCAATGAGTGAGCATCAGCAAGATTTATTGTCAAGACCGAAACAAAACCACTGCGGCCTCGGGCAGCCTGCTTTTATTCTCTTATCTGGCCCCACCCACATCCTGCTGATTGGTCCATTTTACAGAGAGCTGATTGGTCCGTTTTGACAGGGTGCTGATTGCTGCCTTTACAATCCTTGAGCTAGACACAAAAGTGCTCCACCTCCCCACTAAATCAGCTAGATACAGAGTGTGATTGGTGCATTCACAAACCCTTAGCTAGACACAGGGTGCTGATTGGTGTGTTTACAAACCTTTAGCTAGATACAGAGGGCCAATTGGTGTATTTACAATCCCTTAGCTAGACATAAAGATTCTCCAAGTCCCCACCAGACTCAGGAGCCCAGCTGGCTTCACCCCGTGGATCCCACACCGGGGAGGCAGGTGCACCCGCACTCCTCAGCCCTTGGGTGGTCGATGTGACTGGGCACCTTGGAGCAGGGGGCGGTGCTCGTCGGGGAGGCTCGGGCCGGGCACAGGAGCCCACCGCAGGGAGGGGAGGCTCAGGCTTGGCGGGCTGCAGGTCCCAAGCCCTGCCCCGCGGGGAGGCAGCTAAGGCCCGGCGAGAAGTCGAGCACAGCAGCTGCTGGCCCAGGTGCTAAGCCCTTCACTGCCTGGGGCTTGTGGGCCGGCCGGCCGCTCCAAGTGCGGAGCCCGCCGAGCCCACGCCCACCCGGAACTCGCGCTGGCCCGCAAGCGCCGAACGCAGCCCGGGTTCCTGCCTGCGCCTCTCCCTCCACACCTCCCTGCAAGCTGAGGGAGCCGGCTCCGGCCTTGGCTAGCCCAGAAAGCGGCTCCCACAGTGCAGCGGCGGGCTGAAGGGCTTCTCAAGTGCCGCCAAAGTGGGAGCCCAGGCAGAGGAGGTGCCGAGAGCGAGCAAGGGCTGCAAGAGCTGCCAGCACGCTGTCGCCTCTCACTGGCATTCTCCCTCAGGCCCGTCACACACCAGATACCACGCTCGTAACCACTGGGCCACGCTGCAGAGTCTCCTGACTAGGGAGCTAAACAATAAATAAATGTGGCCTAGCTCAGCAGCTCGGGCGGCGGGAGGAGCGGCAGCGGCAAGGCAGCCCAGTTTCGCGAAGGCTCTCGGCGCGCCGCGGCCCGCAGGCACCCGGCACGCGCCTTCCCCGCCGCCAGGATGCCCAAGAGGAAGGTCAGCTCCGCCGAAGGCGCCGCCAAGGAAGAGTCCAAGAGGAGATCGGCGCGGTTGTCAGCTAAACCTCCTGCAAAAGTGGAAGCGAAGCCGAAAAAGGCAGCAGCGAAGGATAAATCTTCAGACAAAAAAGCGCAAACAAAAGGGAAAAGGGGAGCAAAGGGAAAACAGGCCGAAGTGGCTAACCAAGAAACTAAAGAAGATTTACCTGCAGAAAACGGGGAAACGAAAACTGAGGAGAGTCCAGCCTCTGATGAAGCAGGAGAGAAAGAAGCCAAGTCTGATTAATAACCATATACCATGTCTCATCAGTGGTCCCTGTCTCCCTTCTTGTACAATCCAGAGGAAAATTTTTATCAACTATTTTGTAAATGCAAGTTTTTTAGTAGCTCTAGAAACATTTTTAAGGAGGAGGGAATCCCACCTCATCCCATTTTTTAAGTGTAAATGCTTTTTTTTAAGAGGTGAAATCATTTCCTGGTTGTTTATTTTTTGGTACAACCAGAAAGTAGTGTGGGATATTGAATTATGGGAGGCTCTGACTGTCTCGGGTGTCAGCTTAACATTCCATAGATGGGGGGTTAGTTTTTATATCCCATAATACAAAGCATATTAAATGGCAATATGGAGTCAGTCCTGCATTTAATGTCTTGAACATTCTAAATTACTTCTATTACCATGTTGTTTTTTAGTAGAATTGTTTCCTAAAGAAAACCACTCTTTGATCATGGCGCTCTCTGTCAGAATTGTGTGTACTCTGTAACATCTTTGGTTGTGGTAGTCCTGTTTTCCTAATAACTTACTGTGCTGTGAAAGATTACAAATTTGAACATGTAGTGTACGTGCTATTGAGTTGTGAACTGGTGGGCCGTATGTAACAGCTGACCAACATGTGAAGATACTGGTACTTGATAACCTCTTAAGGAAAATTTGCTTCCAAATTTTAAGCTGGAGAGTCACTGGAATAACTTTAAAAAAGAATTACAATACATGGCTTTTTAGAATTTCGTTACGTATGTTAAGATTTGTGTACAAATTGAAATGTCTGTACTGATCCTCAACCAATAAAATCTCAATTATGAAAAAAATAAAAATAAAATGTGGCCTAAACAATAAATAAATAAATAAATACCAATTTCTCCAGGAAATGCACATCAAACCCCACCGCAATCACTTCATACCCATTAGGATGGCTCTAATTTTTTTTTAATCAGAAAATAAAAAATGTCAACAAGGATGTGGAGAAATTAAAACCCTTGTGTACTGCTATGGGAAAAAGTATGGCGGTTCCTCAAAAAATTAAACATAAGTTCCACTTCTGAGTATATGCCTAAAATAATTAAAAGCAGGGACTCAAATTTTTAAATGTTTATTTTTTTAATTATTTATTTATTTTTAATTTCAATAGTTTTTGAAATAGCCAAAAGGTGGAAGCAACCCAAATATCCTTAAACAGATTAACGGATTTTTAAAATGTGGTCTAAGTAAGTGGAAAAAGAAAATGTAGCATATATACACCATGGAACACTACTCAGCCATAAAAAGGAATGAAATAATGTCTTTTGCGGCAACTTGGATGGAGCTGGAGGCCATTATTCGAAGTGAAGTAACTCAGGAATGGAAAACCAAATACCATATGTTCTCACTTATAAGTGGGAGGTAAGCTATAAGTAGGCAAAGGCATAAGAGTGATATAATGGACTCTGGGGACTTGCAGGGGAAGGCTGGTCGGGGGGCGAGGTATAAAAGACTACACATTGGGTACAGCATACACTGCTTCAGTAACAGGTGCACTAATATCTCAGAAATCAAGGCTGAAGAATGTATCCACATGGCTGGGCACGGTGGCTCACTCCTGTAATCCTAGCACTTTGGGAGGCAGAGGCAGTCGGATCACCTGAGGTCAGGAGTTCAAGACCTGCCTGGCCAAAGTGGTGAAGCCCCGTCTCCACTAAAAATACAAAAATTAGCTGGGCGTGGTGGCAGGTGCCTGTAGTCCCAGCTACTCGGGAGACTGAGGCAGGAGGATCGCTTGAACCCAGGAGGGGAAGATTGCAGTGAGCCGAGATCCTGCCACTGTACTCCAGCCTGGGCGACAGAGCAAGACTCTGCCCCCCAAAAAAAAGAATGTATCCACACAACCGAACGCCACCTGTACCCCAAAAACTATTGAAATAAAAAATAATTTTTTTAAAAAAGGAAGAAAGATATGTGGTCTATACGTAAAAGTGGCAAAATGTGGTGATACACACACACACACACACACACACACACACAGGAATATGATTCAGGCTTATTAAAAGGCAGGCAATTCTGGCACAGGCTACAGCAGGAATGAGCCTTGAGGCCATGATGCTAAGTGAAGTCAGTCCATCACAAAAGGACAAATGGGACTGTGGCATTCCGCTTCTATGGGGTGCGGAGAGTGGTTAGATTCCTCCAGACAGAAAGAGCACGCTTGGCTGCCAGGGCCGGGGAGAGCGGGGAGAGGGGAGCGGGAGTTATCATTTCACGGACGCGATGTTTCGTCCCCTTTGATGAAGCGTTCTGGAGATGGGCAGTGGCGACACTCGCCCATATACGCAACGGCTGAGTGCACTCCATGCCACCGAACTGGTTAAGATGGTAAATTTTCTGTTGTGTGTATTCAACCACAATTTTTTAAGCCACTTTCTCCGTTCTTTCATTGAGAACTCCGGGGATCAAAGAAGAACGCCAGCTGCGGTGGACCGCTGAGGAATGGCCGGAGTCCGGGCGCGAGCGCCGCTTCCCCTCGCCCTCCTCCTCTCCCTTCCCGCGGCCCCTGGAGGCCGAGACCCATCCGCGTCCCGCGCGCGCTTTCCTCAGAGGCTCGGCCGGGCGCCCTGCTTCGAAGTGGGCCTGAGGAAGCCTCCGCCTCCGCCGCTGCTTTCTCCCCCTTCCTTCTCCAGCGGCTCCTCCAGGCCGCTCCAGAGACCCCGAGGACCCAAGGACGGTGCCGGGCGGAAAGTCTGTGCGAAGCTGGTGAAAAGGTTGCCCGGAGAGAGCGGAAGCTGTGAGGATGGGCAAAGCGCCCCTGCCCAGCCGCCCCGCCGCAGAACCGGTACACGCGCCTGCCCGCCCCGGGCGCCCCTTTGGCGCTGAGCTTTTCGTGCGGGGCGCGCATCCCTCTCCACTCCGGCTCTCTGGCGCCATCTTGTGTAGCTTTCTTAAACAGCCACAAAATGCGGATCTTTTAGGTCTCTAGTAACATGATTTCTCAAGTACAAAAATAGTTTCCGATATCTTATTGAAGAAAACATTTTCTTCTCTACAAGAAAGCAAAGTTTACCCATTGTTCTAGCACATAATGAGCAAGGCTTTGTTTCCTGAACATATTCGTAACTATTTCAAGGATAATCTTAAGTATAGAAGTTGGTTTTAGTCTAACGTCTTGCCTTTCAGAAACGACTTGGGAGACAGAAAGAAAGAAAAATGAACGTTTAAAATTTTATCAGAGCCAGACGAGGAGCAGGATAAGCCAAATATATTATAAACTCGTTTATATAACCCCTGTTATCTTGACTCAACAAGTAAGGTGCAAGTAGGCACAATTTAAACAACCACAAGTAGAATTAATATAACTGCAAGTCTAGTCAATTAATACAAAGGCACATGCAGTCCAGGGACCCCTGCCCCGTGATGCTAACAACTGAATCCACACTCACAGATCTGCTGATCTATGGGGTGGGCTGTGTTGCTAAAACCAAAAATTGACATCTCAAAGAGGGAGCAAATTAACACGCAATTGTGAAGAAAAATCCATCGTTGGTTAATCTAGCAAAAGTGCTTCCTCTAGTAAATTTAGTATCTGAATGTCAAGTACCAACTCAGAAGTTGAGACAAGCCTTTCTAATTCTCATGGAATTACAAACAAATTTTTTTTATTCCACAAAGAAATAAAGAAATACGAAGTGCTTCCAGCAAGTTACACGGGGGAAAGGGGAAAAAAAAGCCACTTTGGAGCTACAGTCCCACTTCTAGTTATTAGTGTCTTTGAGAGGGCTTTACAGTATCCGCTCTGCTCACAGGAGGCCTTAAGCTGCGGGGAGATTCATGGGACTCAGACGCAGGCTGTATTCTTGAGATCCAGCCAGGTTTTCCACCGACTCACTTCACTTTAGAGTCTGCAGAGTTCAAACAGAACAAAGAAGTAATAGGATCCTGCGGCGGGGAAGGAAGCTGGAGCCTTCCACACTTGGGGCCAAGCTGTAAGCCAAAAGATTAAGTTATAAAAGCAGATTCTTACAACTTGAAGTAGAGAAAGTCTCAATAAGGAAGACACAAACCCAGGAGTGGGAGGCTGCAGTGAGCTATGATCACATCACTGCATTCCAGCCTGGGTGATAGAGTGAGACCCCGTGTGTAAAAATAATAAAAAATAAAATATGGTAAAATATCGATTTAAAAAAAAAAAAAAAGAAAAAGAAAAAAAAAAGAAAGACACAGCACTTCCCCAGCAAGAAGGAAGGCCTATGGATGACACTTTTTTTTAAAGTCACATTTCCCAAAAATGCAAGGGTATCATCGCCGCAGTAAAAGGAGTCAGGCTCTGAGGTCGGAGCGCCCGGTGTGACTTGAGACAGCTTCAGCAGCAGTTCTGGGCCCCAGGACTCTCAGCTCCTCCTCAAGGTTAATAATTCCTGCCTCAGAGGACTAAAAGGAACAAAAGTGTAGCATCCCTAGGACAGAGTCTGGCCCAAGCAGGTGCTCAGTATATAGCAGGTGCCATTCCAGCAATGGTGATGATAATGACAGCCCTACCATTACTGAAGCAAACCTGCCACCCTCTCCTAATGGGCATTCGCATTCACTTACTAACAATAGCTAACACTCGTTGGGTACTTACTATGTGCTGGGCACTGTGCATCAAATTATTTCACTTAACCTGTGGGGCACTTAAATGTAGCCACATCTAATACCCCCACTTTACAGATAACAAAACAGGTTCAGAGAGGTTAGGTAATGTATTAGTCAGCATAGGCTAACTACTGTAACAAACAACCCCCAAAACCTCATGGCTCAACACAAAGTTTACACCTCCCCCATATCCTGGTGGCAGGAGCATGAGAGAAAGGACTCACTCTAGGGTCACTCAGGGAGCCAGGCCCCTTCCATATTGTGACTCCTCCACTGCCTGCCCCTGTGTCTGCTGCTGGATGCCCTGCTTCTAGCTACAGCTGAGGGAGAAGAGACTAAGAAAATCCAGAGCTCTTACCCACCTCAGCCAGAAGTGGCATGTGGCACTTCTGCTCAGAGCCTGCCAGCTTAGTCTGTTGGCCCCACGTAGGTGTAAGGGGCAGGGAAATAGTCTATTGGTATTCCCAGGAAGAAGAGAACAGAAATGGAGATTGGTGTGCAACAATCGTTTCTACAACAATGAACTTGCTTGAGATCACATGGCCAGTAAAAATGGAAGTGAGATGTGAACCCAAGCAGTCTGAGTTCACACCCTGACCTCCTAACCATGGAGCTACACTATCACCTAAGGAACTGTGGAGGTTTTTGAACAGAACCCCAAAATTCTTTACCATTCTTCTAATCAAGAGGTGGGTCAGTGTTGAATCTGGGCTTTGTTAGTCTTTGACCAGTAGAATACATCAGAAATTACCACTATGACCATGTCCAAGGTCTTAAGATGCTAGCAGCTTCTACTTCCTATCTCTTGGGACACTCACTTTTGGAGCCCAGCTGCCATGCTGTGAGGAAGCCCAAGCTAGTCTATGCTGAGAAACCACATGGAATGGCCACCTATATTTGTTCCAGCTGGCAGACAAGGAGGGGTCCCAGCCATCACCCAGGACCAGCCACCAGACATGCAAGTGAAGATGCTTCCAGATGATTCCAGGCCCAAGAAATCAAGTCATCCTCAGCTCCTGAGTCTTCCCAGCTGAAGCTCAGACATCATGGAGCAAAGACAACTCATCATGGCTGTGCTCTGTCTCAATTCCTCCACTCATTTCTAAAGATCCTAGGTCCTGTGGATCCTACTTTCTCATATCTCAGCTGTGCCCCAGATTCATTATTCAATTTGTGCCCAAGATATTTAAGATTCCTGGTGTGAAGTACATTTGAAAATGTACATTTGTGGGCCGGGCTCACGCCTATAATCCCAGCACTTTGGGAGGCTGAGGTAGGCGGATCACCTGAGGTCAGGAGTTCAAGACCAGCCTGGGCAACGTGGTGAAACCCTGTCTATACTAAAAATACAAAAATTAGCTGGGTTTGGTGGCATGCACCTGTAGTCCCAGCTAGTCAGGAGGCTAAGGCAGGAGAATTGCTTACACCCGGGAGGCGGAGGTTGCAGTGAGCTGAGATCGTGCCATTGCACTCCAGCCTGGGCAACAAGAGCAAAACTCCGTCTCAAAAAAAAAAGAAAAGAAAAGAAAAATCGACATTTGTGGTCCCATTAAACACCACAAAGTTTAACTCTTTTGGAAATACAGTTCACAATTAAAACAAAAGTCACTCTAGTGTACCCTGCTAAATTAAACAATTTAGTATATCTCTTTGGTGAGACCAGACTTCTGCAAACCTCACACCAGAAAACAGGTTTAACAATTTTTCATAGTAAGACAATACACTTGGGACTTGAGGGTGGACAAAGCATAAGTAAGCTTAGAAAATGATAATGAACATAAGAAAATAATTATGCTGTCTTTAAACATGATGAAACCATCTCATTAAGCCTAAATTAATTTAAAGGTCAACAATGCATAATTTATGTGGGCTCATAAAATGCATTATGTAAATGATGATTAAACCAATATCCTCTTTTTTTCTTATCTCTGTCCTATTAACTCTAGAAACACTAGAACGCTGGTATATGCTATGTGATAGTAACAAATTTGAAAGATACCAGGTTTTCCTGACACTATTTCTCTTTTTTTTTTTTTTCTGAGATGGAGTATCGCTCTGTCGCCTAGGCTGGAGTGCAGTGGCGCGATCTTGGCTCACTGCAACCTCCTCCTCCCAGGTTCAAGCAATTCTCCTGCCTCAGCCTCCCAAGTAGCTGTGATTACAGGCAGCCGCCAGCACGCCCAGCTAATTTTTGAATTTTTAGTAGAGATGGGGTTTTACCATGTTGACCAGGCTGGTCTCAAACTCCTGACCTCAAGTCATTCACCCACCTCGGCCTCCCAAAGTGCTAAAATTACAGGCATGAGCCAACACACCCGGCCGCCTGAAGTTACTTCTGATAAAAATAAATGCCACAGACACCAAATTCACTGACATTTTAGCAAATTCCACAGTATGGGGTCCCAGGAGATCAGTGCTGCAAGGGAGGAGCTTTAGGAAAGACTACAGAAATGAAGTAAAATAGCCCAAGACAAAATATGCCAGTTTCACAATGTGGCTGGGAGCTGTCCCATATGACTGGGACATACGTTTTCAGTACTAAGGAGCTGAGCCAATGTGAGTCCCTGTGGAGAAAGATGCCCTGATTCATTCAACATTCATCTGTTCCAGGCCCTGAGAATACAGATGCAGAAAAAAACAAAACAAAAATCCCTGCCTACTACCCAACTCGGGCCAGGCAGAATGGCTCTTGCAAAGACAGATAGCGAAAAGGGCCCTCAATGGAGTGAGAACCCAAGAATACACCATCAACATTCCCAAGCACATCCAGGGAGTGGGTTTCGAGAAGCATCCTCCTGAGCACACTCAAAAGCCTCTGGAAATTTGCCATGAAGGCGATGGGGACTCCAGAAGTGCACATTGATACCAGGCTCAACAAAACTGTCTGAGCTAAAGGAATAAGCAACGTCCTATGCTGTATCCATGTGCAGTTGTCCAGAAAACATAATCAGAATGAAGATTCACCAAACAAGCTCTACACTTCAGTTACCTATACCTATTACCACTTTCAAATACCTACTGATAGTCAACGTGGATGACAACTAACCATTGATCATCAAATACATCAAATAAAGTTATAAAACTGCAACAACAAAAAAATCCCTGCCTTCATGGAACTTACATCCTTATGAGGAAAGACAGTTAATTAACAAGTTGGTTATAAACACTATGGAGATAAAGTCAATCAGGGAAGATGGAAACAGATCGTAAGCGATTTACAATTTCAAATAGGGTGAGGAAAGCCTGTTCCAGGAACAGAGAACAGAAAGAGAAAAGGCCTTGATGCAAGTGCAAAGAATAGCAAGAAGGTCAGTTTGACAAGAACAGTGATTAAAATGAAAAATAATAAGAGAGAAAAAAGGTAGAGTGAGGGTGAGGGATACATTGGAAGGCAGTGTAGCTGACTGCAAGGTGTTATGGACTGAAAGTTTGTGTCCCCTCCGAAATTCACATATTGAAATCCTAACCCCTAAGGTGATAGTATTACAAAGTGGGGCCTTTTGGAGGTGATTAGGTCATCAGGGTGGAGCCCTAGTGATGGGATTAGTGCCTTTCTAAGAAGAGACATGAGAGCTTCCTGGCGTCTTTCACCCTGTTCTCCACCATGTGAGGATACAATGAGAAGACAGCCATTTGCAAAGCAGGACACAGGCCCTCACCAGACATCAGATCTGCTGGCACCTTGATCTTGGACTTCCAGGCTCCAGAACTGTGAGAAATACATGTCTGTTGTCTATGCCACCTAGTCTGTGGCATATTTGTTACAGCAGCTCGAACTGACTAGGACACAAAGATTTAGGATTGTAACGGAGACTGTAGTCAGTGGTGGATTATAAGGAAAGGAATACATTATCAGACTTCATAGTCTAACAGAATTACTCTGGCTACTAGAGTGAGAATAGGCTGTAGGGGGCAAGAGTACAAGACGACATGTATTAGTCCATTCTCACACTGCTATAAATACCTGAGATTCCGTAATTTATAAAGACAAGAGGTTTAACTGAGTCACAGTTCTGCAGGGTGTACAAAAAGCATGGCTGGGGAGGCCTCAGGAAACTCACAATCATGGCAGAAGGCAAAGGGGAAGCAGGCGCGTCTTATGTGGCTGAAGCAGGAGGAAGAGAGAGAGCGGGGGAGTGCTACATACTTTTAAACAAGCAGATCTCATGAGAACAAAACAGCATCACAAAAACAGCACCAAAGGGGGATATCTGCCCCCATAATCCAGTCACCTCCCACCAAGCCCCATCTCCAACGCTCCAACAATTCAACATGAGATTTGGGTGGGGACACAAATCCAAACCATATCAGCATATTTCAAAAATATAAGCAAAATATAATAATAATGGGCCGGGTGCAGTGGCTCATGCCTGTAATCCCAGGACTTTGGGAGGCCAAGGCAGGTGGATCACTTGTGGTCGGGAGTTCAAGACCAGCCTGGCCAGCATAACGAAACCCCATCTCTGCTAAAAATACAAAAAATTAGCTGGGCGTGGTGGCGCACGCCTATAATCCCAACTACTCAGGAGGCTGAGAGGAGAATCGCTTGAACCCAGGAGGTGAATGTTGCAGTGAGCCAAGATCGCGCCACTGAACTGGGGACAGGGTGAGACTCCACCTCAAAAATAAATAAATAAATAAATAGTAATAATGGCTTAGTAATAGCAAAGCCACTTACATCAGACTATTCCTACTGATGATCACAATTATAAACTCTGAACAAAATACAAAATACAGCTGTTTAAAGACACTGGAGAGTGACCAACAGTAGGCAGAAAAAGAAGGGGACTTGACATTGAAAAAAAAGTGAATCACACCAAGTGAGGCCAACAAACACATACGTGGCTCTTGCCCTCAGGACATGCCCTAGTTTGTCTAGCATGGCAGATAGGGTCAAGCAGAGAGCCTGTAGTTGTGTTGGTCTGTGGAGTCAGAAGGGACTTGCCCAAGCAACTGCTTATTGAATGGAGGATTCACAGAATTCTATAGATTGGAAGAAGTCAGGAAGGGGAGTAACTTAACATCTCCATATAATCACCCCTTGTATTGTTGGCTGACCTCTGAACTGCATGTGTGCAGATCAAAACTACAAAGTGCCCAAGGTTCGAAACAGCTGGAAGAAAAAAAGAGCTGACCTGAGATTTCAGCACATGCCCACTACAGGGAAGACAGAATTCAGAGATCAAGTCACTCAAGTTAAAGAAACTTGGCAAAAAAAATACAGGTCTTCCATTAAAATCCCAGAGAGACCACTCTTTTTTTTTTTTTTCCTAAATTATTCTCCCAAATGTTTGTTTGCTTGTTTTGTTTGTTTTTGTTTTTGTTTTTTTGTAAACAGGGTCTCCGTCACACAGGCTGGAGTGCAATGGCGAGATCTTGGCTCACTACAACCTCCACCTCCCGGGTTCAAGCAATTCTCATGTCTCGGCCTCCTGAGAAGCTGGTACTACAGGCGCATGCCACCATGCCCGGCTAATTTTTTGTATTTTTAGTAGAGACAGGGTTTCACCAAGTTGGCCAGGCTGGTCTCAAACTCCTGACCTCAAATGATCCATCCACCTCGGCCTCCCAAAGTGCTAGGATTACAGGCATGAGCCAACACACCCAGTGGTTTTGTTTGTTTGTTTGTTTGGTTTTGTTTTTAATTTCCATAGTTTTTTGGGGAACAGGTGGTATTTGGTTACATTAGTAAGTTCTTTACCGTTGATTTGTGAGATTCTGGTGCACCCATCACCCAAGCAGTATACACTGCACACAATTTGTAGTCTTTTATCCCTCACCTTCTTCCCACCCTTTCCCTCTGAGTCCCCAAAGTTTATTATATCATTCTTATGCCTTTGCATAGATGCAAAAACATAGTAATGTTTTGTTGGTATTGCATTTGCTTTTGGATTCTTGGTCAGGAAATCTTTGCCTAAGCCAATGTCTAGAAGGGTTTTTTCTGATGTTATCTTCTAGAATTTTTAGTTTCAGGTCTTAGGTTTAAGTCCTTGATCCATCTTAAGTTGCTTTTTATATAAGGTGAGAGATGAGGATCGTGTTTTATTCCCCTACATGTGGCTTGCCAATTATCCCAGCACCATTTGTTGAACAGGGTGTTGTTTACCCACTTTATGTTTTTGTTTGCTTTGTCAAAGATCGGCTGGCTGTAAGTATTTGGGTTTATTTCTGGGTGGTCTATTCTGTTCCATTGGTCTATATGCCTATTTTTATACCAGTACCATGCTGTTTTGGTGACTATGGCCTTGTAGTATAGTTTGAAATCAGATAATGTGATGCCTCCAGATTTGTTTTTTTTTTTTTTGCTTAGTCTTGTTTTGGCTATGCAGGCTGTTTTTGGGTTCCATATGAATTTTAGGATTGGTTTTTCTAGTTCTGTGAAGAATTACGGTGGTATTTTGATGGGAATTGCATTGAATTTGTAGATTGCTTTTGGCAATATGGTCATTTTCACATTGATTCTACCCATCAAAGAGCATGGGATGTGTTTCCATTTGTTCAGGTCATCTATAATTTAGAAAGACAACATTTTAGAAGCAAAGACCACCTCCCAAAACTAAGATATTCACTTTAGGAGTAAAGATAAAACCATAGTAGACCTGCACTAACAAGGCATACAATTATGCCTCCAACAAAACTAAGGTGATATAAAGCAAGTGAACTACCTTCAAGAACAATGCTTAACATTCCTCAAGGTAGAAAACATACTTGATGTTTTCTTGATGATGCTCTTCAGCACATCTCCCACAATGTCCAGTATACAGTTTAAAAATTACTAGATAAGTGATGGATGACAAAGGAAAAGGAGACCCATGAGAAAGAAAAATAAGTCAATAGAAACCAGTCTCAAAATGACCCAGAAGTTGGAATTATCAAACAAAAACTTAAAAATGTCTGTTATAAATATCTTCAGGCCAGGAGCAATGGCTCACACCTGTAATTGCAGCACTTTGAAGGCCAAGGCAGGAGGATCACTTGAGGTCAAGAGTTCAAGACCAACCTGGCCAACATGGTGAAACCCTGTCTATACTAAAAATACAAAAATTAGCCAGCCATAGTGGCACACTCCTGTAATCCCAGCTACTCGGGTGGCTGAGGCAGGAGAATCACTTGAACCTGGGGGGCGGAGGTTGCAGTGAGCCGAGGTGGTGCCACTGCACTCCCGCCTGGGTGACAGAGTGGGACTCTGTCTCAAAAAAAATAAATTTAAAATAAATTTTTAAAAAATCTTCATAGACTTAAAGGACAATACGGTCATAGCAGATAAACAAATTAAATCATTAGTAAAGAAATGGAAAATCTAAAACAAGCAACCAAATGGAAATCTAGAACTGAAAAATACAATATATGAAATTGCAAAACAAGGCAAAAAACACTGAATAGCTTAAGAGTAGTTTGGACACAACAGAAGAAATAATCAGTGACCTTGAAGATAGGACATTGAAATTTAATAGTACTCACCAAGTTCCTGGAATTATCAATAAAAGGAGATCCAGACAGAATCAGCCAAACATTTAAAGCCACTATCACCCATAGGCCTGAAGAGGCAAGAGGAGGACAAGGTATCGGCACCCAGAGAGAGAGTTGTAGAAGGCCTGACCTCACTCTATTTGCTGTCCTTGATCTTCTGCCAGTGCCTCCGTGAACCAGAAGCTCAAAGCCACAAGAGCCCATTGATTCAGTCTATAAAAAAATCCCACAACCCATAGCACAGTGGAAGGGCACACAGGAAGTATCTAGATCACATGTCTAAATGTATCTCAGAAAACAATTTAAAAAACAAAAAAGAAACCAACCAAAGAAGCTCCTGCATAAATCCTAGGAGAATGAAGAAGTCACTTATAAAGGAATAAAATGTACGCGTGTTCAACGTTCGTGCTGCAGTAAGTCCCAAAAGATGACGTAGTACTATCTACTAAATTTTGAGCAGAAATGTTATAATCAAATATTTTTAAATCTATTCAAAAGATTTTTCATGTATAAAGGCAACAGAAAGGTATTCTCAGATGTCCAAGGATGAGAAAACATATCCTTCACATTGCTTTTAGAAAGAAATATTCAAAGATATATTAAAACCAACTGAAAGAAGTCAAAATTAAGAACTAAAAATGAAACAAAATACAGAAAAATAAATTTTAAAAATAAAAAATAAAAATTGTATATATGTACATGTAAAGAATTTAAAAATCGAAACGTGTTATAAAAGGAATCATGTAATGCTTCCACTTGAACAAAGGAAGTCATGCACAATAGAATAATCTGATTTTTAAAAAAATTTTCAGTTGGCAGACACTAAGAGAGATCATAGTATGGATCCTACCCATAGCCCACTCCTAGAATGGGAGAGGAGAATGGGAGACTTAGAATCTCCAGAGAGACAGACAGTTTGACAAAACTCTTCTTGTTATTTAAATACTGGATTAATGGGTCTTTTCTGCCTCTGCTGGGCATCAAATTAATCTTATTAAATCATGTCTTATCTGATAGATTCTAGAGTTCAAGGTAAGGTTTGGTCCTTCATGATTCCCTCAACTTTTCTCATTCTGTATCTACTCCTTACCCATTGCTACATTCTTCACCCTGCAATGCATAACCAATCTCCCATGTTCGATTAACTTAAAACAATAACTATGTGGTCTTGCCCCAGCGCTTTCTAACAATGGCTAAAATTCTTACAGGACTGAGACACTGTACAAAGACTCTCTGAATAATCTCCAGGAAAACAGAGTTGCAATAAGGAATCACACAATGACTAATTTCATTGCTAAATAACTTGAGAAGTGATTTTCTCACTGAGTGAAGAAAAAAGTCTGGCTGAATGTATGCCAGACAATTAACAGTGATTATCTCTAGGTATGGGATTATGGCAGACTTGATAATGTCTCTCCACATTACCAATTGTAGCTCTTTAAATTTTTTAAATTTTTCACAAGAACCAGATTATGTACTTTAACTAGAAAAGAAAAGCCTTTAAATTTTGATGGTAGAGATGGTTTCTCTAATGTATACTTTCCCGAAACTCATCGAGATGTATACATTAAATATGTGCAGCTTCTTATGTGTCAGTCATATCTCAATAAAGTAGTTTTAAAAAAAATCCTTTAAAGATAAATAATTGTAAAATAAAATACAAGAGACATGGGAATAGTTAAATGACAGCACAAGGAATCAAACTAACAAATCCAAAATGTGGGCTATTCTGTAGGACAATCGACCCAGTTTTTGGAACATGACAATGGTAGCGAAAGAGAGGGTGGGGTGGGGGAATTGCTCGAGTTCTTAACAGAATTAAGAGACAACAAACAAATGTGTTAACCTTGTTTGCATCCTAATTTAAACAAACCTTTTTAAATAAGACATTTTTTAGACAATAAAAGAAATTGTATTGTAGACCGGCTACTAGATGACACCAAATTTGTTAGAGATGCATACTAAAATATATGAGGGCAAAATGGTATAATTACTTGAATTTCTTTTTGAAAGTAAAATAAAAAGAGGAATAGATGTTTTATGGGAAAAACTGATAATTATTGATTCTGGGTAAAGGATATATGGGGGTTCCTCTAATTATTCTCTATCTTTGTGTATGTTTGAATATTTTCATAATTTAAATTTTTAATTAAATTTTAAAACTTTTTTTTTTGAGATGGAATCTCACTCTGTTGCTCAGGCTAGAGTGCAGTGGCGCGATCTCGGCTCACTGCATCCTCCGCCTCCTGAGTTCAAGCTATTCTCCCGCCTCAGCCTCCTGAGTAGCTGAGATTACAGGCATGCGCCACCAAGCCCAGCTATTCTTTGTATTTTTAGTAGAGATGGGGTTTCACCATGTTGGCCAGGCTGGTCTCGAACTCCTGACCTTGTGATCCGCCTACCTCGGCCTCCCAAAGTGCTGGGATTACACATATGAACCACCGCACCTGGCCTAAAACATTATTTTTAAGAACCAAGTTGCTAGTATTTGTAATTGTTGAAGAGAAATTAATCATCAGTAACAGATTATCTGTCATCAGGTTTCATTTTACAATTATTTATCTAAGACCTTATTTCCTCCTGTGTTCACTTTGCTTAAAAATAAATACATGCAGTATATTTTCATTATATACAAATTGCAAAGAAAAGTATTCTAAGGATATTGATAACAATAATAGTTGACATTTACTGGGGGCTTATGTGCCAGGCAGCACGCAAGCATTTTCGAAGAATTAGTTCATTTAACCTTCATAATAGCCCTATGAGGTAGATGTTAGGATAACTTTCAGTAGGAACTTGGTGGGAATTCTAGGCCACCCAACTCAGTCCTGTGGGTCTGGAGCCTTAGCTGCTTCAGTGTAATGCAGTGTTCAACTCTGCATCAGTCTGCCTTGGGAATATTACAGATTTTATAATATTCTCTCTCGTCATCTACTAAAGAAAGCCACCTGGTGAAAAAGTCTTAAAAAGACTTTTACTTTGTCACTAAATGCTATCTACAATCTTTGCAATTCTGAGTATTTGATCTCTGTTTCTAGACATGAGATATGAAACCAAGTACCAAGATAACTAGACAAGCCCAACTCCAACGTATCACAAGACGCTTGGGACTTGCAAAAAAGGAAGCTTGGAGAATCAACATGATTGGGTGAGGCAGCTATCTTCAGCTTTAATTTGGGACAATTACGCAGGGTCATCCCAGCTCCAGAACTAACTCTCCGTGGAATCAGCAGAGGCCTTCACTGAGACTGCTGCAGTTCAAATTCTCCCTCTGGCCAACCCCACAGGTGTTAATTCCAAGAGCACTCCCCAGTAAACCTCTGCATGCAAATATCTGTCTCAGAGCCTGCTTCCCAGGGCACCTGATCTGAAATAGTGACTACCAGCCAGAGTATCCCCTGTCTTCTTCCTTTTGTGTGTGTGTGTGTCTGTGTGTGTGTGTGAGACGAAGTTTCGCTTTTGTTGCCCAGGCTGGAGTGCAATGGTGCCATCTCGGCTCACTGCAACCTCCTCCTCCTGGGTTCAAGCGATTCTCCTGCCTCAGCCTCCCGAGTAGCTGGGATTACAGGCATGCACCATGACACCGGCTAATTTTGTATTTTTGGTAGAGACGAGATTTCACCATGTTGGTCAGGCTGGTCTCAAACTCCTGACCTCAGGTGATCCACCCGCCTTAGCCTCCCAAAGGGCAGGGATTACAGGTGTGAGCCACCGCACCCAGTCCCCCATCTTCTTCTAAATTTCTCTCAAGATCATAAAGGGTCATAATGACCAAAACTGGTCTCATGCCTAATAATGTAAAAAATTACCTCCATTCAGCTGGGCGCGGTGGCTCACGCCTGTAATCCCAGCACTTTGGGAGGCCGAGGCGGGTGAATCACGAGGTCAAGAGATCGAGACCATCCTGGCTAACATGGTGAAACCCCGTCTCTACTAAAAATACAAAAAATTAGCTGGGCATGGTGGCGGGCACCTGTAGTCCCAGCTACTCGGGAGGCTGAGGCAGCAGAATGGCATGAACCTGGGAGGCAGAGTTTGCAGTGAGCTGAGACCACACCACTGCACTCCAGCCTGGGCAACTGAGCAAAGACTCCATCTCAAAAAAAATAAAATATAAAAATAAATAAAAATTACCTCCATTCAACTGATGAGACTACAACTAATATCATGTTTACTGGTGAAAACTGAATGCTTTCTCCCCGAAATCAAAAACAAAACAAGGATGTTTGCCCTCGCCTTTTCTATTCACCATTATACTGGAGTTGACAGTCAGTTCAAGAAGGCAAAAAAGGGAAATAAAAAGGCATGCAAATAGAAAAAGAAGAAGTAAAATGAACTTCATTAGTATGCATATTCATCTATGCACAAAATCCTAAGATAGCAACAAAAATGCACTAGAACTGAATGAGTTTAACAACGTTTTAAGATCTGAGATCAATATAAAAAATTCTTTTTTCCTCTTGAGACAGGGTCTCGCTCTGTCACCTGGGCTGGAGTGCAATGGCATGATCACTGCTCTCTGCAGTCTCGACCTCCCAGGCTCCAGCGATCCTCCCACCTCAACCTCCCCAGTAGCTGGGACTATAGGCACAAGTCACCACACCCACCTAATTGTTTTAAGTTTTTGTACAGGCAGTGTCTCCCTGTGTTGCCCATGCTGATCTCAAACTCCTAGGCTCAGGCAATCCCCCCACGTCGGCCTTCCAAAGTATTTTTATACACTGGCAATGAACAGCTGGAAATCAAATGTGTAAAAACATTTATAATAGCATCACCAAACATGAAATATTTAGAGAAAATTTAACAAACTATGTGCAAGACAAGTACACTGAAAACTATAAAACATGGCTGAAGTAAATTTTAAAAGACTTAGAAAAATGAAGAGATATATTTTGTTTACATATCAGATGGCTCAATATTATTTACATACATTTCTCCCCAAAATGCTATATAGAAATTCAATCAAAATCCCAGGAGGTTTTTTTTCAATTGACAAACTGATTGTACAATATAAACAGAGGCCGGGCACAGTGGCTCACGCCTGTAATCCTAGCACTTTGAGGGGCCGAGGTAGGCAGATCACCTGAGGTCAGGAGTTCGAGACCAGCCTGACCAACATGGAGAAACCCCGTCTCTACTAAACATACGAAATTAGCCAGGCATGGAGGCACATGCCTGTAATCCCAGCTACTCGGGAGGCTAGGGCAGGAGAATCGCTTGAACCTGGGAGGCAGAGGTTGTGGTGAGCCGAGATGGCACCATTGCACTCCAGCCTGGGGGACAAGAGCAAAAACTCTGTCTCAAAAAATATATATATATGCAAATGACCTATAATAGCCAAAACAATTTTTTAAAGGATCAACAAAATTAGAAGACTTACACTAATTTCAAGATTTATGCGAAAGCTACAGTAATCAAGACAGTAGTATTGGAAAAAGTATAGACATATATCACTAAATGGTGCTGAGATAGCTGGCCACTCATATGCAGTAGAATGAAACTAGACCTCAACCTTTCACCATATGCTAGATGCATTAAAGATTTAAACGTAAGACGTCCAACAAAGACTCCTAGAAGAAAACCCAGGAAACACCATTCTGGACATCAGCCTTGGGAAAGAAATTATGACTAAGTCCTCAAAAGCAATTGCAACAGAAACAAATATTGACAAGTGGGATCTAATTAAACTGAAGAGCATCTGCATAGCAGAAGAAACTGTCAACAGAGTGAACAGACAACCTACAGAATGGAGGA
Source organism: Homo sapiens (assembly GCF_000001405.40). Lineage (NCBI taxonomy): Eukaryota > Metazoa > Chordata > Mammalia > Primates > Hominidae > Homo > Homo sapiens. Next base: position 92,729,925 of record NC_000015.10, read on the forward strand.
AAAAATTCACAAACTATGCAGCTGACAAAGGTTTATATCCAGAATCTATAAGGAACTTAAACTATTGAACAAGTGAAAAACAAGTAACACCATTTAAAAATGGGCAAAAGGGGGCAGGCATGGTGCTTCACGCCTGTAATCCTAGCACTTTGGGAGGCCGAGGCAAGCAGATCACTGGAAGTTGGGAGTTCAAGACCAGCCTGACCAACATGGAGAAAACTCATCTCTACTAAAAATACAAAAAATTAGCCAGGCATGGTGGCGCATGCCTGAAATCCCAGCTACTCAGGAGGCTGAAGTAGGAGAATCGCTTGAACCTGGGAGGCGGAGGTTGTGGTGAGCCAAGATTGCGCCATTGCACTCCAACCTGGGCAACAAGAGCGAAACTCTGTCTCAAAAATAATAATAATCAAAATTTAAAATGGGCAAAAGAGGCCAGGCACAGTGGCTCACACCTGTAATCCCAGCGCTTCGGGAGGCCAAGGCTGGTGGATCACCTGAGGTCAGGAGTTCAAGACCAGCCTGACCAACATGGAGAAACCCCATCTCTACTAAAAATACAGAATTAGTCGGGCGTGCTGGAGCATGCCTGTAATCTCAGCTAGTCGGGAGGCTGAGACAGGAGAATTGCTTGAACCCAGGAGCCGGAGGTTGCAGTGAGCCGAGATCACACCTTTGCACTCCAGCCTGGGCAACAAGAGCAAAACTTGGTCTCAAAAAAAAAAAGGGCAAAAGAAGCCAGGCATGGTGGCAGGCACCTATAATCCCAGCAACTTGGGAGGCTGAGGCAGAAGAATTGCTTGAACTGGGGAGGCAGAGGTTGCAGTGAGCCAAGATCGCACCACTTCACTCCAGCCTGCCTGACAGAGTGAAACTCCGTCTCAAAAATAAATAAATACATAAATAATAAATAAATAAATAAATATAAAAATGGGCAAAAGACATGAACAGACCCTTCTCAAAAAAAGATATACAAGTGGCCAAGAAACGTATGAAAAAATGTTCCACATCACTAATTATCAGAGAAATGCAAATCAAAACCACAATGAAATACCATCTCACACCAGTCATAATGCCCATTGTTACAAAACAACAGATGCTGATGAGGCTGCAGAGAAAGTGAACACTTTTACACTGTTGGTGGGAATGTAAATTAGTTCAGCCACTGTGGAAATCGTTTGGAGATTTCTCAAAGAACTTAAAGTGGAACTGCCATTTGACCCAGCAATCCCATTACTGGGTATATATCTAAAAGAAAATAAATTGCTCTACAAAAAGACATGCACTCAGATGTTCATCACAGCACTATTCACAATAGCAAAGACATGGAATCAACCTAGATGTCTATCAGCAGTGGACTGGATAAAGAAAATGTGGTAGCCAGGTGCGGTGGCTCACACCTATAATCTTGCCACTTTGGGAGGCCGAGGCAGGCAGATCACCTGAGGTCAGGAGTTCAAGACCAGCCTGACCAACATGGAGAAACCCCGTCTCTACTAAAAATACAAAAAATTAGCCAGGCGTCATGGTGCATGCCTGTAATCCCAGCTGCGTGGGAGGCTGAGACAGGAGAATCGCTTGAATCCAGGAAGAAGAGGTTGCAGTGAGCCTGGATCGCGCCATTGCACTTCAGCCTGGGCAACAAGAGCGAAACTCCATCTCAAAAAAAAAAAAGAAAAAAGAAAATATGATACATACACAACATAGAATCCTATGCAGCCATAAAAAGGAGTAAAATCATGTCCTTTCAGCAACATGGATGCAGCTGGAGGACATTATCCTAAGCAAATTAGCACCGGAACAGAAAACCAAATACCACATGTTCTCACTTCTAAGTGAGAACTAAACATTTAGTACATGTGGAGATGAAGAAGGGAACAATACACACCAGGGCTACTAGAAGGGGGAGGGTGGAAGGAGGAAGAGTGTTGAAAAACTCCTTATTGAGTACTATGCTCACTACCTGGGTGACAAGATCATTTGTACACCAAACTTCAGTGACATGCAATGTACCCATGTAACAAACCTGCACCTGTACCCCCTGAAACTAAAATAAAAGTTGAAAAAAATTTTTTTAAACAGTCCAACTAATGGTCCTGAAATAATTGGTTATCTGCATGAAAAAATGATGAACCCAGGCCAGGTGCACTGGCTCACACCTGTAATCCCAGCCCGTTGGGAGGCCGAGGTGGGTGGATCACCTGAGTTCAGGAGTTCGAGATCAGTCTGGCCAACATGGTGAAACCCCGTCTCTACTAAAAATACAAAAATTAGCTAGGCGTGGTGGTGCATGTCTGTAATCTCAGCTACTCAGGAGGCTGAGGCAGGAGAATCACTTGAACCTGGAGGCGGAGGTTGCAGTGAGCCGAGATCGCACCACTCTGCACTCCAGCCTGGGCAACAAGAGCAAAACTTCGTCTCAAAAAAATTAATAAATAAAATAATGAGACCGGGCACAGTGGCTCACACCTGTAATCCCAGCACTTTGGGAGGCCGAGGTGGGCAGACGACCTGAAGTTGGGAGTTCAAGACCAGCCTGACAAACATGGAGAAACCCTGTCTCTACTAAAAATACAAAATTAGCCTGGGCAACAAGAGCAAAACTCTGTCTCAAAAATAAATAAATAAAAATAAAATAAAATAATGAACCTTCCCTGTGACACACAATTTACCTACAAAACAAACCTGCACATGTACCCCTGAACCTAAAAGTTAAAAAAAAAAATGATAATGAACCTCAACACCTCAATAATATCCTCCAGCTGTAGCCATGTTGCTGCAAAGAGCATCTCACATTTATCTCACACTACACATAAAATTGAACTAGAAACTGATTATAAACCTTAAGAGTTCAAAGTAGAAAACTTCTTCAAGAAAATATAGAAAATCTTTGTGACTTTGTGTTAGCCAGGAATTTCTTAAATGGAACACAAAAAACATGAGCCAAACAACCACAACCCAAATGTCCATCAGTAGATGAATAGATAGACAAATTGTGGTATATCTGCACAATGGACTATTATTCAGCTATGAGAAAAATGATCTGGCTGGGAGAGATGGCTCACACCTGTAGTCCTAGCACTTTGGGAGGCTGAGGAAAGCGGATCACTTGAGGTCAGGAGTTCGAGACCAGCCTGGCCAACACGGTGAAACACTGTCTCTACTAAAAATACAAAAATTAGCCAGGCGTGGTGGCACGTGCCTGTAATCCCAGCTACTCAGGAGGCCGAGGCACAAGAATCGCTTGCACCCCAGAGGCGGAGGTTGCAGTGAGCTGAGATCGTGCCATTGCACTCCAAGCTGGGGGACAAGAGTGAAACTCTGTCTCAAAAAAAAAAAAAAAGGATCTAATAACTGATATATACTACAGCACAAATGAACCTTGAAAACATTATGCTGAGTAAAAGAAGCCAGGCATAAAAGCTCACATATTATATGATTCCTTTTATGATACTTCCAGAGTGAGCAAATCCATAGGCACAGAAAGCAGATTAGTAATTACTAGAGGATGGGAGAAAGGGGAAGTGGGAGTGATTACTTAATGCTTATGAGGTGTTTCTTTTGGGGTGTTGAAAAATTGTTAGAGGGTGCTGTTTGCACAATATTACAAATACTCTAGCTGCCACTGAATTCTACTCTTTAAAGGAGCTAATTATATGTTATCTGAATTTCACCTCACTTTATTTTTTTTTCACCACATGAAAAGGTACTTTTATCAAACTTCGAGTCTAAGAACGTACAAATGTTTCTTTTATCATGTCTACAGTAATTGTCTATGCTTTTCCATTTAACTGTTGTTAAAAATTCCACATATCCCCATTATTTCTTCTGTCCCAGTTCCAGTACAATGACGGGGAGGAAGAGGGTTGGTTAAAGCATCCCTCTAAGCAGTTTTCCGCTGTCCCTTCTTTCCAGTCAGAGATTTGTGGATGTGAGGGGATCACGCCACCCCCAGCTGTGGTAGCCTTGATAAGAGAATCCAACTCTTCATCACCACGGACTGCAAGCTGCCAGTGACGCGGAGTGATACGCTTTGCTTTGAGACCCTTAGAAGCATTACCTGCCAGCTCCAGCACCTCTGCAGTGAGGTACCCCGGAATCGCAGCCCTGTGCACGGCAGCAGTGGCACCCACCCTTCCATGGCTTGTGGTGCGAGTCTTCAAGTGTCTGTGGATGCGGCCCACAGGAAACTGTAGCCCAGCTCTCTGTGAGCGAGATACTGCCTTAGCCTTGGCCTTCCCACTGTCCTTTCCAGCTTTGCCTCCGGCCATGTTCTCGGCGCCGACTCCGCCTCCGCCTCCGCCCCGCCGCGCGCCCTCCCGCTGCCGACCCGCGCCGCCGCCGCCGCTCTCCTTCACCTCACTTTAAAAGAAAAGACAGAAGCCATTAAAAAATGAGAAAGCTGAGACTTAAGGAGAGATTTGAGAAGTTTTCCCATGGTCCCTCAGGGTTGTCTGACTTTAAATACACCCTTTTAACCACCGCCCTTGGCTGCCCCGGCCGCCTCACGAACGTAAGCAGAGCTCTCTCTGGGTTGAAGGAAGCTAGAGAATTTACATTCCCTGTATTTCCCAAGTTTTATATACTGAGCAAAAAAATATGTTCCTATAAACTCTTGAACATTACACCACATGACTGCGAAAAAAATGATTGTCTTGTAAATACTGGACAAGAGGCACCGAAGTGTTGTCCCTGACAAATGGATGACAAGCATTGAGTTTTCTGCCTTCTACTTTTCTGTATTATCCTGATTTAATAGTCATATTTAAAAGTTTATCATGAAAGAAAATAAGCTTGAAAACCATTTAAATTGAATAGGCTGCCTCAGATGGTCCTGAGTGCTCCTGTCATTGTAGGTGTTCAAAAGAAAACAGTCGGCCGGGCACAGTGGCTCACGCCTGTAATCCCAGCACTTTGGGAGGCTGAAGCAGGTGGATCACGAGGTCAGGAGATCGAGACCAACCTGGCTAGCACGGTGAAACCCCATCTTTACTAAAAATACAAAAAAATTAGCCGGGCATGGTGGTGGGCGCCTGTAGTCCCAGCTACTCGGGAGGCTGAGGCAGGAGAATGGCGTGAACACAGAAGGCGGAGCTTGCAGTGAGCCAAGATAGCACCACTGCACTCCAGCCTGGGCAACAGAGCGAGACTCCATCTCAAAAAAAAGGAAGAAGAAAACAGCCAATCTCTTGATGGAGACATTGTAGACGAATTGAAGCACTGGCTGGAAGACTGAACTAGATGACCCTTAAGTTATCTGAGTCATCCAGGCCCAGTAAGTTTCTAGTCTTGGATAGCAATTCATAACTGCCAATACCTGTAAGACAATTGCCTTGTACCAAGTTCTGTGAAAAGCATTTATATCACAAGCCTATATGATGCGTACTCTTACTGTCCCTGTCTTAGTCCATTTGTGCCACTATAACAAAATACCATAGGGTAATTTGTAAAGAACACAAATTTATTTCTCACAGTTCTGGAAGCTGAAAATCCAGGATGAAGGTGCTAGAGATTTAGTGTCTAGTGAAGGGCGTGGTTTCCCCTTCCAATATGGTGCCTCGTTGCTGCAACATCCAGAGAGGAACGCTGTGTCTTCATAGGGTGGAAGGCTAAAGGGTGACTGAATTGAATACTGTGTGAACTCTTTTATATAAGCACATTAATCCCATTTATAAAGGAGGAGCCCTCATGGCCTATTCACCACTTAAAAGCCCCACCTCTTGATACTATCACTTTATTGGCCATTAAGTTTCAACACCTGAATTTTGGAGGGGAAACATTCAAAATACAGCAATCCCTGTTTTTACATGAAGACACTGAAATGAAAAAATCTTCAACTTGACCAATGTCACATAGCTACATGTCAGGCCAGATCTGCTTTACCACAGAGCCCATGCTCCTAATACCTGCAGTGCCCTTCACCACTGTAATAGATGCCACATAGCACACCAGTGCATGTGAGAAAGAGTGCTCAGTGATGACAGTATGGTACAGTGCAAGGAGCACAGGTTGGGAAACAGGAATGTTCCTCCAAGGACTGTTACCAACTGGTTTTGTGACCATGAACCCTTCTTATCTCTAAAATGCAATTTCCTTTACTATAAAATGCAGGAAAAGTCAAATTTAGCTCTAAGGATTCACTCTCCTACAGCTGTTATTGTAAATTCTCTCAAATTACCATGGCTGTTATGTTTGGATTCCTGACAAACCACTTTACTTCTCCAGGATAAAAGTGACAAGATTTCTTACCAGAACCAGAACCCAGTAACCCTCTACTTGGAGAAAAAAGAGAGTATACTCTGAAGTATCACTCATTATCTTAAGAAAATAAATTTCTTCAGTGGAACTTGGTTCTCAAAGACAGTTAATTTCTCTCTCCTTAAAGAAACCCAATTAAAATAATAAGAGAAATATAAAAAATATAAGCACAAAACAAAAATGAAAATAAATTAGAGACCATCAAGAGATGTCAGATGGCTAGGCTTGGTGGCTCACGCCTGTAATCCCAGCACTTTGAGAGGCTGAGGCAGGTGGGTCCCTTGAGGTCAGGAGTTCAAGACCAAACCGGCCAACTTGGTGAAACCCCATCTCTACTAAAAATACAAAAATTAGCCAGGTTTGGTGGCACACACCTGTAATCCCAGTCACTCGGGAGGCTGAGGCAGGAGAATCTCTTGAACCCAGGAGGTGGAGTTTGCAGTGAGCCAAGATCATGCCACTGCACTCTAGCCTGGGAGACAGAGCGAGACTCCATCAAAAAAAAAAAAAAAAAAAAAAGAGATGTCAGATTTCAGCAAGTTTCTAGACGACATAAAAAAGTAGATGAAAAGGCATCAAAAGATAACATGGAAAATGCCACCATCTTTAGTATTCCTATAGATGGCCTCAAAGATCAGCAAGAGCTGGACAGCAAAATTAAAGAGGCCAATCATGGAGATACCAGGTATTTTCACCCCCTTCCCATTATATTTTCATCCCCTTCCCATTAAGTCAAACAAGTGTAAAATTCACCCATAGGCAAAATATCAGAAGAGCTCTGCTCTAAGGTAGAACAAAATGCCAGGAAATAATAAAGGAGTTAGTTGTGTCTGTTGGCCCAGTGATGAGCCCCATTTATGTATAAAAGCTATATAATTCACGTATTAATTCTGTCTCCCTGTTCTGTCATTCTTTGTCTATTGAGAATATCATGTGGCTTTTGTCTTTTATTCTACTAGTATGTTTTGTGTTGTTGTTGTTGTTGTTGAGACAGAGTCTCACTCTGTCGCCAAGGCTGGAGTGCAGTGGCATGATCTCAGCTCACTGCAAGCTCCACCTCCTGGGTTCACGCCATTCTCCTGCCTCAGCCTCCCAAGTAGCTGGGACTACAGGCGCATGCCACCACGCCCAGCTAATTTTTTTTTTTTTTTGTATTTTTAGTAGAGCCGGGGTTTCACCATGTTAGCCAGGATGGTCTCGATCTCCTGACCTCGTGATCCGCCCGCCTCGGCCTCCCAAAGTGCTGGGATTACAGGCGTGAGCCACCGCATCCAGCCGTATGTTGTTTTACATTGATTTATTTTTCTATGTTGACTCATCCTTACATGCCTAGCAAAATCCCACTTGGCCATGGATTATGATCCTTTCCATATGTTGCTGGATTTATATTGATAGTATTTTGTTGAGGATTGTTGTGTCTGTGTTCTTAATGGATATTGGTCTATAGTTTTCTTTTCTTGGGATGTCTGTCTAGTTTTAGAATCAGGATAATGCTGATCCCGTAGAAAGAGTGGGGACATTTCCCAGCTTCTATTTTTTAGAAGAGTCTCCAAATGACGACTTCCTAAGGAAGTTAATACTTGCTTAAGTGTTTGGTGAAGTTCAACAGTGAAGCCATCTGGGCTTGGGATTCCCTTTGAAAAAAGTTTTTTATTATGATTAATTCAATGTCATCACTTGTTATAGATTTATCAAGATTTTCTACTTCTTCTTGAGTCAGTTTTAGTAGTTTTTGTCTTTCCAGAAATTTTTCCATTTCATCTAATTTGTTGGAATACTATAAACAATCGTATTCCAAGTATTTCTTATAATAAGAAGAATTGAAATAATAATGTATTCTCTTTCATTCTCAATTCTCATAATTTATAATTTGTAGTTTCTCTCTTTTTTATGTTCTCGGTCTAGCTATAGGTACGTGAATTTTGCTGATCTTCTCAAAGAATTAACTTTTGGTTGATTATTTTCCCTACTGTTTTTCTGTCAATTTATTTCTACTCTAATTTTTTTTTTTTTTTTTTTTTTTTGAGACAAGGTTTCCCTCTGTCGCCCAGGCTGGGGTGCAGTGGCATGATTGTAGCTTACTGCAACCTCCCAGTCTCAAGTGATCCTCCCACCTCAGCCTTCCAAGTAGCTGGGACTACAGGCATGTGCCACCATAGCTGGCTAATTTTGTTGTATTTTTTTGTAGATGGGGTTTTGACATGTTGCCCAGGCTGGTGTCGAACTCCTGAGCTCAAGCAATCCACCTGCCTCAGCCTCCCAAAGTGCTGAGATTACGGGCTTGAGCCACTGCACCTGGCCCACTCTAATCTTCATTAGTTCCTTCCTTATACTTGCTTCAGACTTAGTTTTCTCTTCTTTTTCTAGTCTCTTAAGATCGAAGATTAGGTTCTTAATTTGAGATCTTTCTTCTTTTTATTATTTTTTTTTTTTTTTTGAGATGGAGTCTTCGCTCTGTCGCCCAGGCTGGAGTGCAGTGGCACGATCTCAGCTCACTGCAAGCTCTGCCTTCTGGGTTCTCGCCATTCTCCTGCCTCAGCCTCCCGAGTAGCTGGGACTACAGGCACCCGCCACCACACCTGGCTAATTTTTTTGTATTTTTTAGTAGAGACGGGGTTTCACCGTGTTAGCCAGGATGGTCTCGATCTCCTGACCTTGTGATCCGCCCGCCTTGGCCTCCCAAGGTGCTGGGATTACAGGCATAAGCCACCATGCCCGGCCTACTTCTTTTTCAATATGGTTGTGTGTAGCTATAAATTTCCCTCTAAGTGCTACGTTAGCTGTATCCTGCAAGTTTAGGTATAATATATTGTGTTTTTTCATGAAAAAATGCTCATCATCACTGGTCATCAGAGAAATGCAAATCAAAACCACAGTGAGATACCACCTCACACCAGTTAGAATGGCAATCATTAAAAAGTCAGGAAACAATAGATGCTGGAGAGGATGTGGAGAAATAGGAACGCTTTCACACTGTTGGTGGGAGTGTAAACTAGTTCAACCACTGTGGAAGACAGTGTGGTGATTCCTCGAGGATCTAGAACTAGAAATACCATTTGACCCAGCAATCCCATTACTGGGTATATACCCAAAGGATTATAAATCATACTACTATAAAGACACATGCACACGCATGTTTATTGCGGCACTATTCACAATAGCAAAGACTTGGAATCAACCCAAATGTCCATCAATGATAGAGTGGATTAAGAAAAAAATGTAGCACATATACACCATGGAATACTATGCAGCCATAAAAAAGGATGAGTTGATATCCTTTGCAGCGACATGGATGAAGCTGGAAACCATCATTCTCAGCAAACTATCACAAGGATAGAAAACCAAACACCACATGTTCTCACTCATAGGTGGGAATTGAACAATGAGGACACTTGGACACAGGGTGGGGAACATCACACACTGGGGCCTGTCGTGCAGTGGAGGGATGGGGGAGGGATAGCATTAGGAGAAATACCTAATGTAAATGACGAGTTAGTGGGTGTAGCAAACCAATGTGGCACATGTATACCTATGTTAACAAACCTGCATGTTGTGCACTTGTACCCCAGAACTTAAATTAAAAAAAAAATATATATATATATAGTGTTTTTGTGTTTATCTCAAAATATTTTTAAACTTTCCTCATAATTCTTTTTTGACACATTGGTTATTTGAGTGTGTTGTTTACTTTGCAAATATTTGTTAATTTTCCAACTTTTATTGTTACTTATTTCTAATTTTATTCTCCTTGTGGTTGGAGAACATACTTTGTATGTTTTCAATCCTTTAAATTTATTGAGACTTGTTTTATGGCTTAACATATGGTCTAGCATCAACAATGTTCTAAAAAAAGAATATTGTATATGCACTTAAGAAAAATGTGTATTCTGTTGTTAATGGGTGGAATATTCTACAAATATCTGTTAGGTCTAGTTGGTTTATACTGTTGTTTAATTTTCTTGTTGCTCTCCTGTCTAGTTGTCTATTCATCATTGAAAGTGGGTATTGAAGACTCCAACTATTGTTTCTAAATTCTCTATTATTTTCTTCAATTCTGCCCGCTGTTACTTCATATATTTTGGGGGCTCTCCTGTTAGCTGTATACCTATTCATTATTGTTATGTCTGGTCTATCTTTTTTTTTTTTTTTTGAGATAGGGTTTCACTCTGTCACCCAGGCTGGAGTGCAGTGGTATAAACACAACATACAGCTCACTGCAGCCTCAATCTTCTGGGCTTAAGCGATTCTCCCACCTCAGCCTCCCAAGTAGCTGAGACTACAGGTGTGTGCCACCATGCCCAACTAATTTTTTTATTTTTTTGTAGAGACGAGGTTTCACCATTTTGCCCAGGCTGGTCTCAAATGCCTGGGCTTAGGCAATCCTCCCACCTCAGCCTCCCAAAATGCTGGGATTACAGGCATGAGCCACCATGCCCAGTCTGGTCTTCATTCTTAAATAGGAATGGACAACCAATGGTTACTGACATTTGAGAAAGCCTTGCAGCTACAATAATAAAAACTAAATTAAAAACTGAAAAGTACATTCTGGAATTATATAGAAAGAAATGTAATCTTACACACAGCCAGATTTTTTAATGAGCAGTCTTTATATAGTCCTAGTAGTATAAATGTTATTTTTTAATTTTACTCTTTTGTAATCAACCTACTGACATAGCCCAAAGACCTAATTTTGGCTACAGAGATTAATTTAAATATTAATCCTTGATAACTTAAAAATGAATGTACAACTGACAGAAGTTAGATGGTAGAAGGGAGATAAGACGGGAGAAGGAAAGAATATAGGTGCTGATATCCTTTTTTACAAAACAAAGAGATCACTGCCAAGTAACAATGGAATCTGCAATAAATATCGAAGTATATTACTGAAAGTTAGAAAGTTTATGTGTTGCAGAATTTAAAATGATGATAATTACCAACTGTTAAAAACTGAATGAGGTGGAGATACAGGTTAACATGTACTGCTATACATGTATATTGGAATTAAATAAGTAAATGGACAAGAGATCATGGGAGTCAGGTTTCTTATTCTTGGGGTTGGAGGCCAGAGATAATCGAGGGCAAGTGGCGAGAATGCTCCATGTGGCGATGGATTAGAGTTGCTTACTTAAGCATAAACTCATGTTTTGCTTAATATAGATACAGTGATTACATATAAAGATACGCATGTATCACAAGTTAGTAAATATACATGAATCTTCTTGCTCTGTCAGCTGAGACAGCCTAGAAGCAACCACATTCCAGTAGCAATGAGCACACCTAGTGCCCAGATCTTGGATCTTGATTTCTAACACCATTCTCCAAAGAACCAGAGAAATGGCTGATTCTAAGACTGGGAAAGAAAATATACAAGTAAGTTTGGAGCATCACCAGAAAGTAAGAAAGTGCTCAAAAAAAAAAATTCACAGTGATGGGAGTATCAAAGGAACCAACTGAAAGATTTCAAGATTTCCCAATGGCCAAGGCTGGAAGAATTTGAGCAAAAAAAAAAAAAAAAAAAAAAGGTATTAAATTATAGCCCAAAGTACAAAATAAATATCCATTAATCCTGACTGATAGAAATAAATGATTGAATAAATGAATTAACGACAGAGAAAAGTCTCCTGTTGGCCAGGCGCGGTGGCTCACGCCTGTAATCCCAGCACTTCAGCAGGCTGAGATGTGTGGATCACCTGAGGTCAGGAGTTCGAGACCAGCTAGGCCAACATGGTGAAACCACGTCTCCACTAAAAATACAAAAATTAGCCAGGCGTGGTGGCACGTTCCTGTAATCCCAGCTCCTTGGGAGGCTGAGGCAGGAGAATCACTTGAACCCAGGAGGCGGAGGTTGAAGTAAGCTGAGATCGGATCGCACCACTGCACTCCAGCCTGGGCCACAGAGCTAGATTCCACCTCAAAAAAAAAAAAAAAAAAAGGAAAGTCTCCTCCTGTGCAAAAAAGCTCCAAATAAATTCTGTAGTATTCCAACCTAAAGAAGGTGAGGCATAACTCCTACTCCTTAATTATGGGCTGTGCTTAGTGACTTCCTTCCAAAGAAGGAGAATTGCTTGAACCCGGGAGACGGAGGTTCTGTGAGCCATGACCATGCCACTATTGGGCACATACTAACATTTACTGGGCAGTTCCTTACTGCTAGGCATCAAATACTTTACAGAATAAACTCAGTTAATCCTTACATCCACCCTGTAAATTGGTATTACCATTAACTCCAGGCTACAGATGGGTAAACTGAGAGAGGCTGAGTGCCACTAATCCTCCTTCTCACAGTTGGGAAGTGGTGGACCTGGGCTTCAAGAATGTGCCCACTTGGTCGGGCATGGTGGCTCTCACCTGTAATCGCAGCACTTTGGGTGGCTGAGGCCAGGGGATCACTTCCGATCAAGTGTTCAAGACCAGCCTGGCCAACATGGTATAACCCCATCTCTACCAAAAACTACAAAAATTAGCAGGGCGTGGTGGAGCATGCCTGCAGTCCCAGCTGCTAGGGAGGTTGAGGTGGCAGAATTGCTTGAACCTGGAGGTGGAGGTTGTTGTGAGCCGAGATCACGCCACTGCACTCCAGCCTGAGTGACAGAATGAGACCTTGTCTCAAAAAAAAAAAAAAAAAAAAAAAGTGCACCCTTAACTTCCATTCCCATCTGCCTGTCAATAGTTGTTATTTCATAATCAGAAAATATGTTTTAAAAACCCCTTATCATCTACCCTGTGCTTCCTACAGTTGAAATTCAGAAATGTTGATATTTTAGCATTTGAATGTGGCTCTTAGGGTAAAGTGCCTCACCTAATGGTAGAAGTGAAGCATTATTTAAGATTATGGTTTTTGTATTTCTTGGCTTTGTAGGCAAACCTGAGTTCCAGCTACAAGGTGCTGTCTGCAGTTTGCCCATCTGGAGCTTTGCTTGGTTTTGCAATGGGAGGCTTATAAACAGACACATCAAGTGCCTGATACTCAATCCATGGCAGCTCTTATTGATATGAAAATCTCATTTGCAGAAGGCTTTTTCTACACAATTGAATTGGCCCAGTGAAGTAATCCTATTAAAAACAAAAACCTTTCTCAAGAGGCCCCGGAAGAGTTGTGTGTTATTTGCATAGATTTGCATATCAATTCATAGCTGGTGAAATTCCTCATTAAGGAGTGAATTTCTCCAAGCTGCTGAAGCCCAAGAAGGCAAATATTTTGAGCCAATTAATTTTATAGATCAGGAAAAGTCTCGCTCTCCCTGCTACCTACCTCTCCCCTCCAAAAAAAAGTAAATAAGACTTCACCCCAAACCCAGGTTTTACTTGGTAATTCTAACTGGAGAGTGGGGGTGGAAGGGCAGGTAGGTCTACCTGGATGTTCATTGGTTGGAGAGTCTGAAGGAAGGAGGCAAGAAACACTTAAAGCCAGGAGCCAGCCCCAATCCAGAGTCTGCATCCCTCTCTGAGAATCAGATCCTCCGAATGAAGCCCAGACCAAGGGCTTCTCCAGCACCTTCTCTCCTCTCTACATCCTTATTTGAGTCCTCTCACCCGACATCCACATTTCCTTTAGTTCCATCCTTCTTGTCCCTGACACTTTTTCCCTCACCTTCAGTGCCTCCACTTGTAAAATGGGAATAATAATAACTAATAATCCTACCTCTAGGATTAAGGAGAGGAGGAGAGGCCTAGCACTTAATGTAGACTGAATAACCAAGAAATGTTAGCTGTTTGGTTCGGTTGTCTATTACTTGCATAACAAACTACCCTATAACTTAGTGGCTTAAAACAACAATGTTGCTTGCTCAAGATTCTGTGAGTCAGAAATTTACAGAAGGTTCAGATGGGAGGCTTGCTCCATGTGGCATTGGCTGGGGTCATTCACTCAGCAGCATAAGCCAGTGGCTAGGTTGGAGTGGAACTTTCAAGAAGGCTTCACCCATATGGGAAGTGCCTCTGTGCTTTTCCCTGTGGCCATTCTCTCCATGTGGCTAGCTTGGACTTCCTCACAACATGGTGGTTGCACACTTTTTTTTTTTTTTTTTTGAGACGGAGTCTCGCTCTGCTGCCCAGGCCAGACTGCAGTGAAGCTATCTTGGCTCACTACAGGCTCTGCCTCCCGGGTTCACGCCATTCTCCTTCCTCAGCCTCCCAAGTAGCTGGGACTACAGGCGCCCGCCACCACGCCTGGCTAATTTTTTGTATTTTTAGAAGAGACGGGGTTTCACTGTGTTAGCCAGGATGGTCTCGATCTTCTGACCTTGTGATCCGCCCATCTCGGCCTCCCAAAGTGTTGGGATTACAGGCGTGAGCCCCAGCGCCCAGCCGGTGGTCGCACACTTTTTATCTAGCAGCTGGCATCTAAAAGGAGATGTTCCAAAGAGGAAAGCAGAGCTGCCAGTCTCCAAGGCTGAGCCTTAGGAATTATAGCGTCACTTCCATTGTGTTCTGTTGGTCAAAACAAGTTCCAGCCTAGCACAAATATAAAGGGGGATGGGATAAACTCCATTTCTTATTTATTTATTTAGAGATGGGGTCTTGCTCTGTTGCCCAGGCTGCAATGCAGTGGCACAATCTGACTCACTGCAGCCTCATCCTCCCAAGCTCAAGCAATCCTCTCACCTCAGTCTCCTGAGCAGCTGGGATTATAGGCATGGGCCACCATGCCCGGCTAATTTTTCTATTTTTTTGTAAAGACAGGATCTCCCTGTGTTACCCAGGCTGGTTTCCAACTCCTCAACTCAAGCAGTCCTCCTGCCTCAGCCCCACAAAGTGCTAGGATTACAGGTATGAGCCACTGAGCCCAGCCAACTCCATTCTTGATAGGAAAGTGGCAAACAATATGCAGTCATCTTTAACCCACATTGTTGATGGACAATCTCATCCACTTCATCTATGGCCCTGAGAATTCTCCCAAGACAAGATCACAGATATTTTTTCAAAACACTGACCTGAACATGTCATCATCTCTCTCTGTTAAAGCCTCTAAGACCTCCATTACCTATAGAAAAAAATTCAAATTCCCTAGGTTGACATTGGAGACCCTTCACAAATCGTACTCTACCTCTCCAGCCTGACTTCTAGCCGGCAAGCACACATGTGCACATACCTCCTACCACAAATTCACAGACACTGTCACACAAGTAAAAACACACACATTCAAACATTTACGTGCTGTTGACTGCCAACTTCCCAGAAAGACCACCAGAATAACCCATGCATCAAACAAAGCCATGACTTTTTTTTACCAAACTGCTGTCAAGGACAGCAAATTAACCCTGACCAGGCCATAGGAGTGTCTCAGAAGGGGGAGACAAGTGACAGATACCTACTGGGTTTTAGTGTTCGAATTCAAGTGGTTTGGCCGGGCACAGTGGCTCACGCCTGTAATCCTAGCACTTTGGAAGGCCGAGGTGGGTGGGTCACCTGAGGTCAGGAGTTCGAGACCAGCCTAGCCAACATGGTGAAACCTCGTCTCTACCAAAAATACAAAAATTAGGCGGGGGTGGTGCGTGCCTGTAATCCCAACTCCTCGGGAGGCTGGGGCAGGAGAATTGCTTGAATCTGGGAGATGGAGGTTGCAGTGAGCCAAGATTATGCCACTGCACAGCAGCCTGGGGGACAGAGCGAGACTCTGTCTCAAAAAAAATTCAAGTGGTTTAAGGTAGGTCTTTGAATGTGGGGAACTGACTACAGTTGGGCAAAGTTCGTGATGTTCTAGTTTAGAATGAAGGGCCACAATGGGGCAAGAGCCATAAAGCAAGTCTTGATTAGGATGCAATTGTTTGGCAAGTAAACCTTCTTCCCAGGTGAGCATCCAACTGTCCTGAGAAGGGGGCCTACATGCCCAAATATGCAACATCTTGTTTAAATAGGTTTTCAAGAATTTCCAAAGCAAACAGTGAGGTATTTACTGGTTTACAGTTTTATCTTCTCAGGCAAGAATGTTCTGGAATAAATGGTCATGTTGACACAGGTGGTTTCAGTCTTCAGTCCTGATAACTAAGCCACGGGGACCTCTGTCCTCAACACACACAGTCACTCTCTCGCCCACATCAGCCAGACTCTGAGTGACCTTCGTCTTCCCCAGTCTCCACCTTTTTTTTTTTTTTTTGGAGACAGAGTCTCACTCCGTCACCCAGGCTGGAGTGCAGTGGCACAATCTCGGCTCATTGCAACCTCCACCTCCTGTGTTCAAGAGATTCTCGTGCCTCAGCCTCCTGAGTGAGTAGCTGGGATTACAGGTGCACGCCACCACACCCAGCTAATTTTTTTTTTATTTTTAGTAGAGACAGAGTTTCGCCATGTTGACCAGGCTGGTCTTGAATTTTTGTATTTTTAGTAGAGACGGAATTTCGCCATCTTGGCCAGGGTGGTCTCCAACTCCTGACCTCAAGTGATCCACCCACCTCGGCCTCCCAAAGTGTTGGGATTACAGGCTTGAGCCACTGCACCCAGTGTAGTCTCTGCATTTTCATATCCTCACCCTCTGCCGTAACAATGCCTGTTTTCTTCCAATATAAATGTAATGCGTGCTCATCGCTGAAAAGTCTGAGAATAGAAAGGTTGGGGCCAGGCGCGGTGGCTCACACCTGTAATCCCAGCACTTTGGGAGGCCGAGGCAGGCGGATCCCTGAGGTCAGGAGTTCAACACCAGCCTGGCCAAAAGGGCGAAACCCCGTCTCTACTGAAAATACAAAAACATTAGTTGGGTGTGGTGGTGCATGCCTGTAATCCCAGCTACTCAGGAGGCTGAGGCAGGAGAATCGCTTGAACCCAGGAGGCAGAGGTTGCAGTGAGCCAAAATCGCGCCACTGCATTCCAGCCTGGGCGACAGAGCAAGACTCCCTCCCCAAAAAAAAAAAAAAAGGTTAAAAGCCATCATGATGTGCACATAGGGGTAGATAGAGAGAGATGGGGGTTGTATTATTCATATTTTCCTAGCATTGCCCTAAAAAATTACCACAAACCAGGTGGCTTAAAGCAAAAGAAATTATTCTCTCACAGTTCTGGAAACCAGAAGCCTGAAGCCAAGGTTTTGGAAGGGCTGGCTCCCCCTGGAGATGGAGCGAGAATGTGTTCCATGCTTCTCTTGCAGCTCCTGATGACTCCCAGCAGCCCTTGGCATTCCCTGCCTTGGGGCTGCCTCACTCCAGTCCCTGCCTCCATCCTTCTCTCTGCATCTCTGTGTGTCCTCTCCTCTATTCACAAGGACACCAGTCAAAACGAGTCCCACTGTAAATCCAGGCACCACCGTAAATCCAAAATAATCTCAAGGTCCTTAACTTCATTACATTTGCAAAGACCCTATTTCCAAATAAGTTCACATTCTGAGGCTCCAGGTGGACATAAATTTGGGGAGGGCCATTATTCAACCCACTGCAGGGGTATAAGAGACCTAACTCTTCATCTGGTTTACAAAGAAGGAGATAATGTCTAAAATCATCATTCAAGAAATGGCAACATAAGCACATTATTTTGACCGGGGGAAATATATTACAGGCTTGAACAGGGTTCCCCAGGAGAGCAGGAAGAAGCAGGGCAGTGGACAGCTTTTTTTCACACTTAAAACTTGTAATACCTCTTGGCTCTGAATTATTTTTGTTTCTTTGAAAACACAAAACTAAAAAGAAAATCACTCATGTGTTTTTTCTTGCTTATTCTTTTCTGCACTTACATAGAAAAAAATTTTTTATTTCAAATAAATGAAAATTCCTGTTACCAAATGATAGAGTTAACACATTGGTACATTCTTTGCTCACATTTTTTTAAGTTGATCCTATTGTACATCCAACAGGAAAATCAGTTTCAGTCCACCTAACTTCATAATACAAACATATCTCTGTTTTATCTTTGAATTGTAATAGACATTTTTATTGGCTACATAAAATTTTATCAAGAAAAATATCTGGCAGGTCATAGTGGCTCACACCTGTAATCCCAGAATTCTGGGAGGTCGAGGCAGGTGGATCACTTGAGGTCAGGAGTTTGAGACCAGCCTAGCCAACATGGTGAAACCCCAACTCTACCAAAAATACAAAAATTAGCCAGGTGTGGTGGTGTGTACCTGTAGTCCCAGCTACTCAGGAGGCTGAGACAGGAGAATTGCTTGAACCAGGGAGGTGGAGGTTGCAGTAGGCCGAGATTGTGGCCACTGCACTCCAGCCTGGACAACAGAGCGAGACTCCGTCTGAAAAATAAATAAATAAATAATCCATCATTTACTTAAACTGGTTCCCCCCGGGCACTGTGACTCACACCTATAATCCCAACACTTTGGGAGGCCAAGGCAGGAGGATTACTTGAGTCCAGGAGTTCGAGACCAACCTGAACAACATAGCCAGATCTAATCTCTAAAAAAAAAAAAAAAGAAGTTGAAATCGTTCCTATTTTTTCACATTACAGATAATGCTGAAATAAATGTCTTTAGGAAGAGGTTTTCTTCATTTGTTGTGTGTGTACTATTACTTCCTTGAAATGAATACCAATTTCTAGGAGGTTATATTACAGGAGTATGAAAGTTTGGAAGACTTTGGGTACATTCACCAAATTTTATTCTGGGGATGGGGAAGGTGCCCTAACACCAAATCATATAAAATGCACACCCTGTTGGTGTTTCTTCTGAACCTTCCTGTCTTAATGAAAGCCGGTGTAATAGGATATTGAATAGGCTTTTCCTGCTGCCCCCAGAATGTCACCTATACTCCTAAAGCAGAGGACTTTCAGATTACTCACAGGGCTTATTAAAAAGTACACAAACAAAAAAAAAAAAAAAAAAAAAAGTACACAAACTAGGCTGGGCACAGTGGTTTACACCTGTAATCCCAGCACTTTGGGAGGCTGAGGCGGGCAGATCACCTGAGGTCAGGAGTTGGAGACCACCCTGGCCAACACGGTGAAACCCCGTCTCTACTAATAATACAAAAATCAGCCAGGCGTGGTGGTGGGCGCCTGTAATCCCAACTATTCAGGAGGCTGAGGCAGGAGAATCGCTTGAAGCTGGGAGGCAGAGCTTGCAGTGAGCTGAGATCACGCCACTGCACTCCAGCCTGGGCAACAAAGTAAGACTCTGTCTCAAAAAAAAATAAAAACTCCACCTAATTTAGTGCAGAGACAAACTGAAAACCCAACCTTGGAGGTGCTTCTGGAACAATAGCTCAGTCCCAGTGAAGCACAGCAGCTATGCTTCAACCAATCACAGACGGTCAGCTGTCCAAACTGTTCAAGAAAGTCAGACACCACGCTGTAATCAATCCAGTGGGTCCCGTGCTCACTTCCATTTTCTGTACGTCACTTTCCTTTTTTTTGTCCATAAATCTTATCCAATCATGCAGCTGCCCTGGAGTCCTCTAAATCTGTCTGGTTCTGGGGCTGCCAAAATCATTTTTTTTCTTTCTGGCTCAATTAAACTTTGTTAATTTAATTTGTCTCAAGTTTTTCTTCTAATATTCAGTGTCAGAAGTGAAGATGTAAACTAAAACTCCAGTGCACCAGGTGACCAGTTCAGGTATCCACGAATCCAACTGCATTCAGTGCCCTCTTGTTGGTAACTGGAGGCCATGAGTGGTTTTTCCCTTTTTTTTTTTTTTTTTTTTTTTTGAGACAGGGTCTTGCTCAGTCGCCCAGGCTGGAGTGCAGTGACATGATCTCGGCTCACTGCAACCTCCGTCTCCCAGGTTCAAGCGATTCTCCTGCCTCAGCCTCCTGAGTAGCTGGGATTACAGGCGTGCACTGCCACGCCCAGCTAATTTTTGTATATTTAATAGAGATGGGGTTTCATCATGTTGGCCAGGCTGGTCTCAAAATCCTGACCTCAAGTGATCCACCCACCTCAGCCTCCCAAAATGCTGGGTTTACAGGCGTGAACCACTGTGCCCGGCTGATGTGTGGCTTTTCTCTTAAATTCCAAGTTCCACTAAATTGTGCTTTGAGCTAAGTTGATTTGAGCAATATTTAGACTGATCTGAGTCCAAGATCAGATTGACTTTGACAATTAACTGGATTAGATTCAGCTGGAAGACTCAGGCCTTAGTGCTTTTCTGATAACGAGTTCATCTCAGTCCAAGGAGTCTGGGACTCCACCTTCTAGGACTCCAGATAATTTTATTATAAAAATTATGGGCCCAGAACATGTGCATTTTCAGAAAAGTTGGTTAACCTTACTAGAGACAACTTCGAATTAACAATGGGGAAGTTTTAATTTGGATCAAATTGTTTATTTGCAAGGCACATGTTTTAAGAGAATCAAAAATCCTGCAAAAACAATAGGATGTATTCTCTTTTTTTATTTTAAATTCCGAGATACATGTGCAGGATGTGCAGGTTTGTTACATAGGTAAATGTGTGCCATGATGGTTTGCTGCACCTATCAACCTATCACTTAGGTATTAAGCTCCACATGCATTAGCTATTTATCCTGATGCTCTCTCTTTCTCCAGGACGTATTCTTTAATTGGCTTGTGGAGGTACCTAAAAGGCTAAATGAATTTAAAATTGCTTCCGGACCAGGCATGGTGGCTCACACCTATAATCCCAGCACTTTGGGAGGGTGAGATAGGAGGATCGCTTGAGCCCACGAGTTCGAGACCAGCCTAGGCAGCATAGTGAGATACAATCTCTACAAAAAAAAGAAAAAAAAAATTTTTTTTTTTTTTGAGACAAGGTCTTGCTCTGTCATCCAGGCTGGAGTGCAGTGGTATGATCTTGGCTCACTGCAACCTCCGCCTCCTGGGTTGAAGCAGTTCTCCTGTCTCAGCCTCCTGAGTAGCTGGGATTACAGGCGTGTGCCACCATGCCTGGCTAATATTTGTATTTTTAGTAGAGACGGGGTTTCACCATGTTGGCGAGACTGGTCTCGAACTCCTGACCTCAGGTGATCCACCCGCCTCGGCCTCCCAAAATGCTGGGATTATAGGCATGAGCCACCGCACCCGGCCAAAAAAAAAATTTTTTTTTAATAGCCAGGTGTGGGGGCACATGCCTGTACCCCCAGCTACTCAGGAAGCTGAAGTGGAAGGATCACTTGAGCCTGAGAGACCAAAGCTACTGTGAGCCATGATTGTACCGCTGCACTCCAGCCTGGGCAACAGAGTGGACCTTTTTGCTTCATTACTCTTTTACCCTGAAGATGATGAAAACAAAGAAGTTAGACAGATGTCTTCTTGCTGTAACCACCTTCACTCCATGGCTTAAAATGGAGCTAAAAGCCATTGTAAAAGACTTCCCTAGCCCACAAGAAAATCCTCAGAAATTTACTGAAGAATTTAGAATTCTCCTAGGAGCTTACAATTCACGATTCCCTGACCTTTACCAACTTATTCACATGATATTGGGGCCTGACAAAGCTTGAAAATGGCTGGTGGTAGCACAATGCGACAGACCTGAGAAGAATATTAAAGACTCCCCCAAAACCTCCTCATGAGAAGGGCTAAAAGGAACTAGAAGAATTGCTGACAACCTTTTAAGTTCAATTCCTAAGATTTTTCCACCAAAAAAAAAAATTGATTGGTCCATCATACAATCCTGCAGACAAAAACAGGATGAACCAGTTTCAGATGAAAGAACTCGCTTAGAAACATTGTGAAACATTCTGGGCTGAAAGTACAGCAAGGAGTATTTCCTGCAGGGACTGAAATGGCATTAACCTGTCTTTATAAATGGACCCCATTCTGAACTTAACAGTTTAATTTAAAAAAAAAACATAAACCGGAATGGGAAGTTACAGATATGGTTGAATTGGTGGCCTTAACTGAACATTTTGAGAAGACTCTAGTGTAAGAAATAAAGCCAAAAGGCTAATAAGCTTATATCTCTCCAATTACAACAGTTACGGGGGCCCAGACCGAAAGGATCTTCTCGTTTTTAATTTAAATCACAACCAAGAGGTCCTAAAACAAGAAATTATTTACTCTAAGCTGTCTGCCTTCATTACAAACCACAGGGGAATGCCACAGGGGTTTACTAAAGCCTTCCTTACTTTGGGGAAACTGGAAAAAAGATTGTCCACTTTTATGTCAGTCCACCAATAAGCCTCCTCCCTTTGTGATATGTGATATGGTTTGGCTGTGTCCCCACACAAATCTCATCTTGAATTCTCACATGTTGTGGGAGGGACCCAGTGGGAGGTAATTGAATCATGAGGGCAAGTCTTTCCCGTGCTGTTCTCATAATAGTGAATAAGTCTCACAAGATCTGATGGTTTTATAAAGAGGAGGTTCCCTGCACAAGTTCTCTCCTTTTGCCTGCCGCCATCCATGACTTGCTCCCCCTTGCCTTCTGCCATGGTTGTGAGGCCTCCTCAGCCATGCAGAACTGTAAATCCATTAAACCTCTTTTTCATCCCAGTCTCGGTTATGTATTTATCAGCAACATGAAAATGGACTAATACAGTCTATTTCACCTCCAATGAAAGCACATGATATTTTAGTTCTCGTGATGATAGTCAACATGAATGAGGCTCCGAGAGATTCTCCAATTTTGTAAAATGCTTAAATAAACATGGAGAAACAAGAGTTAAAATAAATAAACAAATGGAGAGGCAGGTCATGGTGGCTCACACCTGTAGTCCCAGCGCTTTGGAAAGCCAAGGCGGGCAGAGAACCTGAGCCCATGAGTTTGAGACCAGACTGGGCAATAAGGCAAAATCCCATCTCTACCAAAATAATAATAATAATAATAATAATAATAATACAAAAATTAGCCAGGCATGGTGGTGTGTGCCTGTAGTCCTAGCTATTGGTGAGACTAAGGTGGTAGAATCTCTTGAGCCCAGGAGACAGAGATTGTAGTGAGCTGAGATTGTGCCCTTGCATTCCAGCCTGGGTGATGGAGCAAGACCCTGTCTCAAAAAAATAATAATTTTTTTTTTAAATGAAGAATCTTGCTGGGCATGGTGGCTCACCCTGGTAATCTCAGCACTTTTGGGAGGCGAGGTAGGTGGATCACGAGGTCAGGAGTTTGAGACTGGCCTGGCCAATATGGTAAAACCCCGTCTCTACTAAAAATACAAAAAATTTAGCTGGGTGCAGTGCTGCGCGCCTGTAGTCCCAGCTGCTCAGGAGGTTGAGGCAGGAGAATCACTTGAACCCAGGAGGCGGATGTTACGGTGAGCCGAGATTGCCCCACTGCACTCCAGCCTGGGCGACAGAGCAAGACTCCATCTCAAAAAAAAAAAAAAAGAAGAAGAAGAAGAAGAATCTTGTACAATCTTAGTGGATATCAGAACCACCTCATCCATAAATCCCACTTTAATATGCCAACAAATCCTGCAGATTGAACAGGTCATTTCTGTGGTGGGGGTTTTCAACCAGCTTCAAGAGGTTTCCTTATCTGAACCCATCCAATTGACTTTGGGGCTATTTTCAGAAAAACATACCTTTTTGCTGTGATTCTACTCCAGTATACTTGCTAGGTTGAGACTTACTTTCAACGCTGAAAGGGCATACCAATAACTCCTCAGGGAAAAAATTACTCTTAGAGTTTCCTGACTCTCCTGAACCAGAACTGTTCTCTCTACAGGCAGAAATGGATAAGATCAACTCTCAACCCTGTAATACCCCTGACATTTCTAAACACGTGAACGTTTATGGGCCTCTTTCTCAAATGATACAGGAAGGACTAAAAGGGTGGAACCTATAAAAGTGCAAATGGATCATTCTAAACCTTTACCTAAATTACCCCAATCCACTAATACCAGAAGCAATTCAAGGGCTCTCACCAATTGCACAAGATTTAATTATACAAGGATTTACAATTCTGTGTACCAGTCCTTGAAACACTCCAATCCTACCAGTTAAAAAAAAAAAAAAAGTGGGCAGGGGACAGTGGCTCATGCCTGTAGCACCAGCACTTTGGGAGGCCAAGGCGGGCAGACAACTTGATGCCAGGAGTTCAAGACCAGCATGGTCAACATAATGAAACCCCATCTCTAGTGAAAATACAAAAATTAACCAGGTGTGGTGGCACATGCCTGTACTCCCAGCTACTAGGGAGGCTGAAGCAGGAGAATTGCTTGAACCCAAGAGGCAGAGATTGCAGTGGGCCAAGATCACGCCACTGCACTCCAGCCTAGGCAACAGAATGAGACTCCATCTCAAAAAAAACAAAATACCAAAACCAAATGGATCAGGTTGGAGATTCGTTCAAGATTTATGGGCAGTTAATAAAATTGTAATATCAAGGCTTTCTGTGGTTCCAAATTCTAAAACTTTATCATCTAATTTACCCTCTGATTCAAAGTGGTTCATAGTAACAGACTTCTGCTCAGCCTTCTTTAGCATTCCAGTTTATAAAAACAGTCAGTATTTGTTTGCTTTTATTTAGAAAAGCCAGCAGTACCCCTGTACTATAATGCCACAGAGGTTTACTGAAGCCTATTTGTATTTTTCCCAGGCATTGAATCAGGAATTAATAACCCTACAGTTTCCTTGAAATTCTATTCTTCTATTTTCCTTTTTATTTTTCTTTATTAAATGTATATTTTTTAATAGAGATGAGGTTTTGCCATGTTGCCCAGGCTGGTCTTTAATTCCTGAGCTCAAGCGATTCACCCACCTCAGCTTCTCAAAGCACTGGGATTACAGACATGAGCCACTCTGCCTGGTCGAAATCCTATCCTAATTCAGTATGTAGATGGCATGTTATGCTCTCCCACTAAAGAGTGCTCTGGGCCAGGCATGGTGGCTCACGCCTATAATCCTAACACTTTGGGAGGCCGAGGCGGGCAGATCACTTGAGGTCAGGATTCCAAGACCAGCTTGGCCAACATGGTGAAACCTTGTCTCTACTAAAAATACAAAAATTAGCTAGTCATGGTGGCTCCCGCCTGTAGTCCCAGCTACTCAGGAGGCTGAGGCAGGAGAATCACTTGATTCTCAGGAGGTGGAGGTTGCAGTGAGCCTACCGAGATTGCACTACTGCACTCCAGCCTGGGCGACAGAGCAAGACTTCTTCTCAAAAAAAAAAACAAAAAAAAAAAGCTGGGGGAGGTTCCAAGATGGCCAAATAGGAACAGCTCCAGTCTGCAGCTCCCAGCATGAGCGACGCAGAAGATGGGTGATTTCTGCATTTCCAACTGAGCTTTGAAGAGAGCAGAGCTTCTCCCAGCACAGAGTTTGAGATCTGAGAACAGACAGACTGCCTCCTCAAGTGGGTCCCTGACCCCCGAAAGTAGCCTAAGTGGGAGACACCTCCCAGTAGGGGCTGACTGACGCCTCATACAGCTGGGTGCCCCTCTGAGACGAAGCTTCCAGAGGAAGGATGAGGCAGCAACATTTGCCATTCTGCAATACTTGCTCTTCTGCGGCCTCCACTGGTGATACCCAGGCAAACAGGGTCTGGAGTGGACCTCCAGCAAAATCCAACAGACCTGCAGCTGAGGGTCCTGACTGTTAGAAGGAAAACTAACAAACAGAAAGGACATCCACACCAAAACCCCATCTGTACATCACCATCATCAAAGACCAAAGTAGATAAAACCACAAAGACGGGGAGAAACCAGAGCAGAAAAGCTGAAAATTCTAAAAATCAGAGCACCTCTTCTCCTCCAAAGGAACACAGCTCCTTGCCAGCAATGGAACAAAGCTGGACGGAGAATGACTTTGATGAGTTGAGAGAAGAAGGCTTCAGACGATCAGTAAAAACAAACTTCTCCGAGCTAAAGGAGGATGTTCAAACCCATCGCAAAGAAGCTAAAAACCTTGAAAAAAGATTAGACGAATGGCTAACTGAATCAACAGTGTAGAGAAGTCCTTAAATGACCTGATGGAGCTGAAAACCATGGCCCAAGAACTACGTGACGCATGCACAAGCTTCAGTAGCTGATTTGATCAAGTGGAAGAGTATCAGTGATTGAAGACCAAATGAATGAAATGAAGCGAGAAGAGAAGTTTAGAGAAAAAAGAGTAAAAAGAAACAAACAAAGCCTCCAAGAAATATGGTACTATGTGAAAAGACCAAATCTACGTCTGATTGGTGTACCTGAAAGTGACTGGGAGAATGGAACCAAGTTGGAAAACACTCTGCAGGATATTATCCAGGAGAACTTCCCCAATCTAGCGAGGCAGGCCAACATTCAAGTTCAGGAAATACAGAGAATGCCACAAAGATAATCCTCAAGAAGAGCAACTCCAAGACACATAATTGTCAGATTCACCAAAGTTGAAATGAAGGAAAAAATGTTAAGGGCAGCCAGAGAGAAAGGTCGGGTTACCCACAAAGGGAAGCCCATCAGACTAACAGCGGATCTCTCGGCAGAAACTCTACAAGCCAGAAGAGAGTGGTGGCCAATATTCAACATTCTTAAAGAAAAGAATTTTCAATTCAGAATTTCATATCCAGCCAAACTAAGCTTCATAAGTGAAGGAGAAATAAAAAACTTTACAGACAAACAAATGCTGAGAGATTTTGTTACCACCAGGCCTGCCTTACAAGAGCTCCTGAAGGAAGCACTAAACATGGAAAGGAACAACCAGTACCAGCCACTGCAAAAACATGCCAAATTATAAAGACCATCGAGGCTAGGAAGAAACTGCATCAACTAACGAGCAAAATAACCAGCTAACATCATAATGACAGGATCAAATTCACACATAACAATATTAACCTTAAATGTAAATGGGCTAAATGCACCAATTAAAAGACACAGACTGGCAAATTGGATAAGAGTCAAGACCCATCAGTGTGGTGTATTCAAGAGACCCATCTCACATGCAGAGACACACATAGGCTCAAAATAAAGGGATGGAGGAAGATCTATCAAGCAAATGGAAAAAAAAAAAAAGCGCAGAGGTTGCAATCCTAGTCTCTGATAAAACAGACTTTAAACCAACAAAGATCAAAAGAGACAAAGAAGGCCATTATATAATGGTAAAGGGATCAATTCAACAAGAAGAGCTAACTATCCTAAATATACATGCACCCAATACAGGAGCACCCAGATTCATAAAGCAAGTCCTTAGAGACCTACGAAGAGACTTAGACTCCCACACAATAATACTGGGAGACTTTAACACCCCACTGTCAACATTAGACAGATCAACGAGACAGAAAGTTAACAAGGATACCCAGGAATTGAATTCAGCTCTGCACCAAGCGGACCTAATAGACATCTACAGAACTCTCCACCCCAAATCAACAGAATATACATTCTTCTCAGCACCACATTACACTTATTCCAAAATTGACCACATAGTTGGAAGTAAAGCACTCCTCAGCAAATGTAAAAGAACAGAAATTATAACAAACTGTCTCTCAGACCACAGGGCAATCAAACTAGAACTCAGGATTAAGAAACTCACTCAAAACTGCTCAACTACATGGAAACTGAACAACCTGCTCCTGAATGACTACTAGGTACATAACGAAATGAAGGCAGAAATAAAGATGTTCTTTGAAACCAATAAGAATAAAAACACAACATACCAGAATCTCTGGGACACATTTAAAGTAGTGTGTAGAGGGAAATTTATAGCACTAAATGCCCACAAGAGAAAGCAGGAAAGATCGAAAATTGACACCCTACCATCACAGTTAAAAGAACTAGAGAAGCAAGAGAAAACACATTCAAAAGCTAGCAGAAGGCAAGAAATAGCTAAGATCAGAGCAGAACTGAAGGAAATAGAGACACAAAAAGCCCTTCAAAAAATCAATGAATCCAGGAGCTGGTTTTTTGAAAAGATCAACAAAATTGATAGACCACTAGCAAGACTAATAAAGAAGAAGAGAGAGAAGAATCAAATAGATGAAATAAAAAATGATAAAGGGGAGAACACCACCGATCCCCCAGAAATACAAACTACCATCAGAGAATACTATAAACACCTCTAGACAAATAAACTAGAAAATCTAGAAGAAATGGATAAATTCCTGGACACATAGACCCTCCCAAGACTAAACCAGGAAGAAGTTGAATCTCTGAATAGACCAATAACATGTTCCGAAATTGAGGCAATAATTAATAGCCTACCAACCAAAAAAAGTCCAGGACCAGAAGAATTCACAGCTGAATTCTACCAGAGGTACAAAGAAGAGCTGGTACCATTCCTTCTAAAACTATTCCAATCAATAGAAAAAGAGGGAATCCTCCCTAACTCATTTTATGAGGCCAACATCATCCTGACACCAAAGCCCGGCAGAGACACAACAAAAAAAGAGAATTTTAGACCAACATCCTTGATGAACATTGATGCAAAAATCCTCAATAAAATACTGGCAAACCGAATTCAGCAGCACATCAAAAAGCTTATCCACCATGATCAAGTTGGCTTCATCCCTAGGATGCAAGGCTGGTTCAACATATGCAAATTGATAAATGTAATCCATCATATAAACAGAACCAAAGACAAAAACCACATTATTATCTCAATAGATGCAGAAAAGGCCTTCGACAAAATTCAACAGCCCTTCATGCTAAAAACTCTCAATAAACTAGGTATTGATGGGATGTATCTAAAAATAATAAGAGCTATTTATGACAAACCCACAGCCAATATCATACTGAATGGGCAAAAACTGGAAGCATTCCCTCTGAAAACCGGCACAGGGATGCCCTCTCTCACCACTCCTATTCAACATAGTGTTGGAAGTTCTGGCCAGGGCAATCAGGCAAGATAAATAAATAAAGGGTATTCAATTAGGAAAAGAGAAAGTCAAATTGTCCCTGTTTGCAGATGACATGATTGTATATCTAGAAAACCCCATCGTCTCAGCCCAAAATCTCCTTAAGCTGATAAGCAACTTCAGCAAAGTCTCAGGATACAAAATCAATGTGCAAAAATCACAAGCATTCTTATACACCAATAACAGATAAACAGAGAGCCAAATCATGAGTGAACTCCCATTCACAATTGCTTCAAAGAGAATAAAATACCTAGGAATCCAACTTATAAGGGATGTGAAGGACCTCTTCAAGGAGAACTACAAACCACTGTTCAACGAAATAAAAGAGGACACAAATAAATGGAAGAACACTCCATGCTCATGGATAGAAAGAATCAATATTGTGAAAATGGCCATACTACCCAAGGTAACTTATAGATTCAATGCCATCCCCATCAAGCTACCAATGACTTTCTTCACAAAATTGGAAAAAACTACTTTAAAGTTCAGATGGGACCAGAAAAGAGCCTACATTGCCAAGACAATCCTAAGCCAAAAGAACAAATCTGGAGGCATCATGCTACCTGACTTCACACTATACTACAAGGCTACAGTAACCAAAACAGCATGGTACTGGTAACCAAAACAGAGATATAGACCAATGGAACAAAATAGAGTCCCCGGAAATAATACCACACATCTACAATCATATGATCTTTGACAAACCTGACAAAAGCAAGAAATGGGGAAAGGATTCCCTATTTAATAAATGATGCTGGGAAAACTGGCTAGCCATATGTAGAAAGCTGAAACTGGATCCCTTCCTTACACCTTATACAAAAATTCATTCAAGATGGATTAAAGACTTAAATGTTAGACCCAAAACCATAAAAACCCTAGAAGAAAACCTAGGCAATACCATTCAGGCCATAGGCATGGGCAAGGACTTCATGACTAAAACGCAAAAAGCAATGGCAACAAAAGCCAAAATTGACAAATGGGATCTAATTAAACTAAAGAGTTTCTGCACAGCAAAAGAAACTACCATCAGAGTGAACAGGCAAGCTACAGAATGGGAGAAAATTTTTACAATCTACCCATCTGACAAAGGGCTAATATCCAGAATCTACAAATAACTTAAACAAATTTACAAGAAAAAATCAAACAACCCCATCAAAAAGTGGGCAAAGGATATGAACAGACACTCCTCAAAAGAAGACATTTATGCAGCCAACAGACACATGAAAAAAATGCTCATCATCACTGGCCATCAGAGAAATGCAAATCAAAACCACCATGAGATGCCATCTCACATCAGTTAGAATGGGGATCATTAAAAAGTCGGGAAACAACAGGGACTGGAGAGGATGTGGAGAAATAGGAATGCTTTTACACTGTTGGTGGGACTGTAAACTAGTTCAACCATTGTGGAAGACAGTGTGGCGATTCCTCAAGGATCTAGGACTAGAAATACCATTTGACCCCGCGATCCCATTACTGGGCATATACCCAAAGGATTATAAATCATGCTGCTATAAAGACACATGCACACGTATGTTTATTGCAGCACTATTCACAATAGCAAAGACTTGGAACCAACCCAAATGCCCATCAATGATAGACTGGATTAAGAAAATGTGACACATATACACCATGGAATACTATGCAGCCATAAAAAAGGATAAGTTCATGTCCTTTGTAGGGACATGGATGAAGCTAGAAACCATCATTCTGAGCAAACTGTCTCAAGGACAGAAAACCAAACACTGCATGTTCTCACTCATAGGTGGGAATTGAACAATGAGAAAATTTGGACACAGGGTGGGGAACATCACACACTGGGGCCTGTTGTGGGGTGGGGGGAGGGGGGAGGGATAGCATTAGGAAATATACCTAATGTAAATGACAAGTTAATGGGTGCAGCACAGCAACATGGCACATGTATACATATGTAACAAACCTGCAAGTTGTGCACATGTACTCTAGAACTTAAAGTATAATAATAAACAAGTAAAAAAATAAAACTGTAAAATAAATAAGAGTGCTCTGATACCAAAGGGGTTGAATGAGAAAAAAAAAAAGTGCTCTGAAATTGACTCTGTTTACTTTACAGCAACTCACACATATAGGTCACAAAGCTGTGATGGAAAAACTTCAGTTTTACATCGAGAGAAAAAGTTTACTATTTGGGACTGGGTGCAGTGGCTCACACCTGTAATCCCAACACTTTGGGAGGCTAAGGTGGGTGGATCACCTGAGGTCAGGAGTTCAAGACCAGCCTGGCCAACATGGTGAAACCTCATCTCTACTAAAAATACAAAAATTAGCCAGGCATGGTGGCAGGTGCCTGTAATCCCAGCTACTGGGGAGGCTGAGGCAGAAGAATGGCTTGAACCCTGGAGGCAGAGGTTGCAGTGAGCCAAAATCATGCCACTGCACTCCAGCCCTCCAGCCTCAGCGACAGAGGAAGACTCCATCTCAAAAATAGATAGATTAATTAATTAATTAATTTACTATTTGGGATACGACTTGACTGCTGAAGGGATTTCTCTCTCAACCATTCAGTTTTTCTCAGCCTGCAACCAAAAGACAATTAAGAGGGTTTCTTACACTTGCAGGATATTGCAGATCCTGGACCCTGAATTTTTCTGTGATGTCTTCACCATTGTATGAGCTCACTAGAAACACAGTCCCAGAGCCATTACCTTAAGAAGACAGTCATGAGCTGGCTTTTCACCATGAAATTGGCCTTATAACACCCCCCAGCTTTATGACTTTCAAATCAGGCTAAATCTTTTACCTTGTTCATTTCGAAACCTAACATCAGGCATTAGGAGTTCTTACCCAAAAACATGGGAGGAAACAGGCCCGTTGCCTATTATAGCCTACAATTAGACCTAGTAGCTGAGGCATATTCTAATTGTTTAAAAGCAGTAGCAGCAGAAGCCTAGTGGTAGAAGCTTCATATGAGCTGGTTTTAGGAAATAAACTTAATTTCATGTCCCAAATGCTGTAGAAAGTCTACTAAATTCCAACCAAACTCAGCATTTTTCAGCAAGTAGACTAACATCTTATGAAATTCTTCTCCTGTCTCTTTCTTCTCTCCATCTAAAATGCTGCAACCTGCTTATCCCTGCTATTCATTTACCTCTGCCTGACAATGGTGAAGATCACAGTTGTGTGAGTGTAGTATCAGAAGCTGGCTGGGTGCAGTGGCTCACGCCTGTAATCCCAACACATTGGGAGGCCAAGGCAGGCAAATCACTCGATGTCAGGAGTTCAAGACCAGCCTGGCCAACATGACAAAACCCTGTCTCTACTAAAAATACAAAAATTAGCCGGGTATGGTGGCATGCACCTGTAATCCCACCTACTTAGGAGGCTGAGGCGGGAAAATCACTTGAACTCGGGAGGCAGAGGTTTCAGTAAGCCAAGATTCACTGCACTCCAGCCTGGGCGACAGAGCAAGACTGTCTCAAAAAAGAAATAGTGGGCAGTGCATTCTGCTGTACTGTGGATCTGTCTCTTGCTTCAACAGTGTTTTGGCCGGGCGTGGTGGCTCACGCCAGTAATCCCAACACTTTGGGAGGCCGAGACAGGTGGACCACTTGAGGTCAGGAGTTCGAGATCAGCTTGGCCAACATGGTGAAACCCTGTCTCTACTAAAAATACAAAAATTAGCCAGGCATGGTGGCATGCACCTGTAATCCCAGCTACTTGGGAGACTGAGGCACAAGAATCACTTGAACCCAGAGGGCAGAGGTTGCAGTGAGCCTAGATCGCGCCACTGCACTCCAGTCTGGGCGATAGAGAGACACCCCATCTCAAAAAAAAAACAGTGTTTGGATGGACCAGACCCAGCCTCCCTATCTTCCAGCCTCTGACTCCTCTCCAATCTCCCCTCCACTTGCAACCTCCAGACCATCTTCTCTGCCACCTCCTGCTTCTGGGACCAGCCAACACCATTTTTGTGGTTAGCTCCTTTTCTGACCAACCATGAGCTCCTAGATTCATCAGAATTATTCTACCAAGGTGGAGACAGCTGTCAACCACCTGGTCAATTGGCATCTGCAGGCCTTCTACACCTACCTCTCTCTGGCCTTCTATTTCAACTGCAGACATGTGGCTCTGGAAAGCATGGGCCACTTTTTCTACAAATTGTCCAAGGAAAGGCACGAGGACACCAAGTGTCTCTTGAAGACGCAAAACCAGCATGGGAGCCACATTGTCTTCCAAGACATCCAGCAGCCATCTCAACATGAGTGGGGCCCTATTCTCCATGATGCCATTATTATGCATTGCATGCCTGTATCAGAATATATCATGTACCACATAAATATATACACCTGCTATGTGCCCACAAAAATTAGAAATTAGAAAAAAAAAGTTGTTTCTTTTTTCTTTTTTTTTCTTTTTTTTTTTTTTTTTGAGATGGAGTCTCTCTCTGTCGCCCAGGCTGGAGTGCAGTGGCATGATCTTGGCTCACTGCAAGCTCCGCCTTCTGGGTTCACACCATTCTCCTGCCTCAGCCTCCCGAGTAGCTGGGATTGCAGGCGCTTGCCACCATGCCCGGCTAATTTTTTTGTATTTTTAGTAGAGACAGGGTTTCACTGTGTTAGCCAGGATGGTCTCGATCTCCTGACCTCGTGATCCGCCCACCTTGGCCTCCCAAATTGCTAGGATTACAGGCGTGAGCCGCCGTGTCCAGCCAAAATATTTTTAAAGATGAATGGAGTAAAACCCTGGACACCATGGAGGCCACCACAGTCCTGGAGAAGAACCTGATCCAGGCCCTTTTGGAGCTTCAGGCCCGGGGTTCTGCCTACACAGACCCCCATCTCTGTGACTTCCTAAAGAGCGTCTTCATAGATGAGGAAGTGAAACTCATTAAAAAGATGGGCAATCACCCGACCAACCTCTTCAGGCTGTCTGGCCCCCAGGCCGACTGGACCAGTGTCTCTTTGAAAGGCTCAACCTTAAGCACATCTAGGAGCCTACTGAACCCAGCAACTCCAGAAGGGCCCCTCTCAAAGCATCAGGGCTTCTGCCTGAGACTCTCCCTCCAGCCACTGGGCAGCTTTTTAACCACCCTAGAGCCCTCTCCATGCCTTGGACCAAATAGAAATAAAGCTTTTTGCAACAGCAAAAAAACAGGGAGGTGAGGGAGAAGAAAAGAAAAAACAAAAAAGTAATAGCAACGCCTCATGTTTACTCTGTTGGATAATCCAGAGTTAATACTTTTTGTTGATGAGTCCTACGCCAAAAATTTGGAAGGAAAATAATAGGTAAGATGTGCCATTCCCACCCAAAATGAGTTACTAGAGAAGGGAGCTCTTCCTCAATTTAAGGCAGCTCAACCTAAGGAGATTTTGCTCTCATCCAAGCTTGTTATATAGCTAATGACAAGTTGGTAAATATTTATGCGGATAATGTATATCTTTCTTGAGTAGTATGTGATTTTTTGCATGTTAAAGAAACAATAAAGAT
The DNA here is from genome assembly GCF_000001405.40 of Homo sapiens. Classification (NCBI taxonomy): domain Eukaryota; kingdom Metazoa; phylum Chordata; class Mammalia; order Primates; family Hominidae; genus Homo; species Homo sapiens. Next base: position 92,764,248 of record NC_000015.10, read on the forward strand.
TTCTCACTTCTAGTGGGAGCCCCATCAAAAATGGACTCCAATTAGATGAATTTTTTTCTGCTTTCCTGTTACTGTCACAGATTGCCATTATTAAGATTGAAGCCCATACTGTAAAACTAAACTGAATATCAAGGAACTGCCGTAGCAGATTTTAATGCTAAATCAGCTAGTGCTGAAACTGTTGGCATATACAATTTGGATGAACTCCATAAGATTAATACGAGTCAACTACTCCCTTTTGATGACCTATTTAATAAACAGTTTAATGCACCTAATTTGGAAAAACAAAATTGATATCTAAAAGTATATACAAAAATTAGCTGGGCATGGTGGCACCTGCCTGTAATCCCAGCTACTCCGGAGCCTGAGGCAGGAGGATCACTTGAACCCGGGAGACAGAGGTTGCAGTGAGCTGAGATCACATCACTGCACTGTAGCCTGGGCAATACAGCGAGACTCCTTCTCAAAAATAAATAAGTAAAAGTATATAAATTAAATGTGAAGCACAGTCTCACAGAGGGCCTGGATGGCCACCTAGTCCTACATGAGTCTTTAAAGCTTCCATTGTTAAAAGCTCTGCACTTCATAACTCATCATGGAACAGAAAAAATGTTCCAGGCCAGGCACCGTGGCTCATGCCTGTAATCCCAGCACTTTGGGAGGCCGAGAAGGGTAGATGGCCTGAGGTCAGGAGTTCAAGACCAGCCTGGCGAACGTGGTGAAACCCCATCTCTACTAAAAATACAAAAATTAGCCAGGCACAATGGCACATGCCTGTAGTCCCAGCTACTCAGAAGGCTGAGGCAGGAGAACCACTTGAACCTGGGAGGCAGAGGCTGCAGTGAGCCAAGATGGCGCCACTGCACTCCAGCCTGGGTGACAGAGAGAGAATCTGTCTCCAAAAAAGAAAAAATGTTCCAAATTATTAAAAAGTATGGGTGGGGCAACTATTCTAAAATTGCTAAAACACTGGTTTATAACCAATGTTTGGTTTATCAAACTCATAGTCCTGGGAAAACAATCAAAACTTCAGGGGGTATATTTCCACCACCTAATGCACCATTTGGAGATTTACAGATAGACTTCATTCAGTTGGCACCCTCAATGGGGTATCAGTATGTTCCTGTCATAGCTGTATGTTTTCAGGTTGGGTAGAGGCTTTTCCATGTAGGAAAGTCAAGTTGTGACAGTAGCTAAAAAATTATTAGAAAATCTGTTTTCTCTACAGGGCATCCCTGGAGAAGTCTGTAGCAATAGGAGACTTCATTTTACTGGGCAAGTTATAAAGCAGTTAAATAAGGTGTTACAGACACACTCCCATTGTTCCTATCACTCTCAGCCTCCTGGAAAGGTTGAAAGAACAAATGGCATCTTAAAACTTAAATTGGCAAAGTTAACTGAGTCAAATCGATTACCTTGCCCAAAGATACTATCATTAGCTTTAATGGCAATCAGATCCATTCCCACTGGAAAACATAAGTGGACCCCTGATAAAGTAGTCACTAGAAGGCCCATAGCCCTAATAATAGAACTTTCTGCATCTCCTGCTCTCCTTAACTCTCATGTGACTAAATACTGCAAGGTTTTAATGCATTATGCCAAAGTGTATTTTCAACAGGTAAAGACATTCTTACTGACCCATCAACTGAGGACAATCAAACCTTTCAAAGTCTCAAATCTAGAGATTGGGTCATCTGGAAATGACATCAGAGGAAGACCCCCTGATCTTGTTGGAAGGAACTGTACAAATTTCTTCTCACCACCCACAATGCAGTGAAGCTTCAGGGCCTTGAATGTTATGTCACAGCTCAAAAGGGCCTGCTCAGATTCTTGGAACTGTACACTGGTTGGCAAGTTTAAGGTAAAGGTAACAAGAGAAATTTCTCCCCAGAAGCAGATGGCATACTAGACTTGGAAAGTTTTCCCAAAATTAGGCAGCAAAACTTCTCTGCCATCATGAAAGACTTATGCCTTTTTCTTTTTTCCTCATTTCCTCCTGTCCTAATATTTTCCTTTTTCCTACAGGAAAATCTGTAGGACCATAATCAAGCTTTAGCTCAAGCTAATGCCCTAGCACAAAACCAGAGCAATTGTTGGGTTTATGGGCTAATGGCAAAAAAATCAGAAAACAATTCAATTAACACTAATGCCTCTCTGTGTTCTCAATGAGAGCCACCTTAAAATGTTAAAGGAAGAGCAGAAAGCTATCCTTGATATTCTAAACATCATGGCTAATGGATTTCCTGCACTCGCTACAAACAACACTCTAACTTTTCCAATTAATAAGCTAATAATTACTAAATATAGAAAACCCGCCTGAGGCCAGGCGCGGTGGCTCACACCTGTAATCCCAGCACTTTGGGAGGCCGAGGCGGGCGGATCATAAGGTCAGGAGATCGAGACCATCCTGGCTAACACGGTGAAACCCCGTCTCTACTAAAAATACAAAAAATGAGCTGGGCATGGCAGCAGGCTCCTGTAGTCCCAGCTGCTGGGGAGGCTGAGGCAGGAGAATGGCGTGAACCTGGGAGGCGGAGCTTGCAGTGAGCCGAGATCACACCACTGCACTCCAGCCTGGGTGACAGAGAGAGACTCCGTCTCAAAAAAAAAAAAAAAGAAAACCCGCCTGAGTGATGCCTGCAAAAGGTATATTGTGCTTCCAGGCATCACACACTCAAGATCTGGGAACTTGTACTTATGTGTGTACAATTAATTGTACTTACGTGTGTACAAGTAATTGCTTGTATAATGTTACTGGATTAAATCCAGTGGGATCCTTTTTTACTAAATGTGTTAATACAGTAAGTCCTCACTTAACATTGTTGATAGGTTCTTGGAAACTGCAACTTTAAGCAAAATGCAATGTACAGCAGATACTCAAATAATGTCATTTTGTTCAGCCTCATTTCATTATAATGTTGATGAGAAAAAAATTGGTTTTCTTAGAGTCATTTTGCTTAAAGTTGCAGTTTCCAAGAACCTACCAATGATGTTAAATGAGGATTTACTGTACACCCTTACAGAATGTTATAAAGGGGTCACAAAAAAAGTGGATTTCCCACTGCACCTTGTTCAGAAGCTACGCAGATTTGTGGGTGAAGAAATTTAAGTGATGCTGCTCAAACACAACCAGGTGGCCCTCTTTGAAAACTCCTGAGGGCCTATATTGGGTCTGTGGAGCATCTCCTTATTTCATTCTGCCTTTTTTTTCTTTTTTTTTTTTTTTTTAATTTATTTTTTTTTATTGATCATTCTTGGGTGTTTCTCGCAGAGGGGGATTTGGCAGGGACATAGGACAATAGTGGAGGGAAGGTCAGCAGATAAACAAGTGAACAAAGGTCTCTGGTTTTCCTAGGCAGAGGACCCTGCGGCCTTCCACAGTGTTTGTGTCCCTGGGTACTTGAGATTAGGGAGTGGTGATGACTCTTAACGAGCATGCTGCCTTCAAGCATCTGTTTAACAAAGCACATCTTGCACCGCCCTTAATCCATTTAACCCTGAGTGGACACAGCACATGTTTCAGAGACCACAGGGTTGGGGGGTAAGGTCACAGATCAACAGGATCCCAAGGCAGAAGAATTTTTCTTAGTACAGAACAAAATGAAAAGTCTCCCATGTCTACCTCTTTCTACACAGACACGGCAACCATCCGATTTCTCAATCTTTTCCCCACCTTTCCCCCCTTTCTATTCCACAAAGCCGCGATTGTCATCCTGGCCCGTTCTCAATGAGCTGTTGGGCACACCTCCCAGACGGGGTGGTGGCCGGGCAGAGGGGCTCCTCACTTCCCAGTAGGGGCGGCCGGGCAGAGGCGCCCCTCACCTCCCGGACGGGGCGGCTGGCCGGGTGGGGGGCTGACCCCCCCACCTCCCTCCCGGACGGGGCGGCTGGCCGGGCGGGGGGCTGACCCCCCAACCTCCCTCCCGGACGGGGCGGCTGGCCGGGCGGGGGGCTCCTCACTTCCCAGTAGGGGCGGCCGGGCAGAGGCACCCCTCACCTCCCGGACGGGGCGGCTGCCGGGCAGAGACGCTCCTCACTTCTCAGACGGGGTGGCTGCCGGGCAGAGGGGCTCCTCACTTCTCAGACGGGGCGGCTGCCAGGCGGAGGGTCTCCTCACTTCTCAGACGGGGCGGCCGGGCAGAGACGCTCCTCACCTCCCAGACCGGGTCGCGGCCGGGTAGAGGCGCTCCTCACATCCCAGACGGGGCGGCGGGGCAGAGGCACTCCCCACATGTCAGATGATGGGCGGCCGGGCAGAGACGCTCCTCACTTCCTAGATGGGATGGCAGCCGGGAAGAGACGCTCCTCACTTTCCAGACTGGGCAGCCAGGCGGAGGGTCTCCTCACTTCTCAGACGGGGCGGCCGGGCAGAGACGCTCCTCACCTCCCAGACGGGGTCGCGGCCGGGCAGAGGCGCTCCTCACATCCCAGACGGGGCGGCGGGGCAGAGGCGCTCCCCACATCTCAGACGATGGGCGGCCGGGCAGAGACGCTCCTCACTTCCCAGATGGGATGGCTGCCGGGAGGAGGCGCTCCTCACTTCCTAGATGGGATGGCGGCCGGGCAGAGACGCTCCTCACTTTCCAGACTGGGCAGCCAGGCAGAGGGGCTCCTCACATCCCAGACGATGGGTGGCCAGGCAGAGACGCTCCTCACTTCCCAGACGGGGTGGCGGCCGGGCAGAGGCTGCAATCTCGGCACTTTGGGAGGCCAAGGCAGGCGGCTGGGAGGTGGAGGTTGTAGCGAGCTGAGATCACGCCACTGCACTCCAGCCTGGGCACCATTGAGCACTGAGTGAACCAGACTCCGTCTGCAATCCCGGCACCTCGGGAGGCCGAGGCTGGCGGATCACTCGCGGTTAGGAGCTGGAGACCAGCCCGGCCAACACAGCGAAACCCCGTCTCCACCAAAAAAATACGAAAACCAGTCAGGCGTGGCAGCACGCGCCTGCAATCGCAGGCACTCGGCAGGCTAAGGCAGGAGAATCAGGCAGGGAGGTTGCAGTGAGCCGAGATGGCAGCAGTACAGTGCAGCTTCGGCTCGGCATCAGAGGGAGACCGTGGAAACAGAGGGAGAGGGAGACCGTGGGGAGAGGGAGACGGGAGAGGGAGACGGAGAGGGAGACCGTGGGGAGAGGGAGACGGAGACCGTGGGGAGAGGGAGACGGAGACCGTGGGGAGAGGGAGACGGGAGAGGGAGACGGAGAGGGAGACCGTGGGGAGACGGAGACCGGGACCATGGGGAGACAGAGACTGAGACTGTGGGGAGAGGGAGAGGGAGACCGTGGGGAGAGGGAGAGCTTTTTTTTTTTTGAGACAGAGTCTCGCTCTGTCGCCCAGGCTGGAGTGCAGTGGCACAATCTCAGCTCACGGCAATCTCCACCTCCTGGGTTCAAGTGATTCTCCTGCCACAGCCTCCAGAGTAGCTGAGATTATACGCACACGCCACCATGCCCGATCTCATTCTGCCTTTTTACTAGTTCAGATCTTGCTATTTGGCCTGGCTCATTCTTGCCTTTTGAATAGCTTCCCCTGAAAGTCTCCATAATAGCTCCCACAATCAGAGGTCAAAATGTTCAATAACAAAAATTAGCACCAACTTTAAAATAGATAAAGATAAGCTAATTTCCAGTGAGGGAAGATTTTCATGGGGTTCCTGGGGGCCTACTCTTGGTGGTAGTGGGACACCAGTTGTATGAAATTTAATGCTAATCTATAAATTGGAAAAAATCTTGGATTTTGTAGCAAATCAGGTGTCCCAGGGTTATAAATGGGTAGAAGCCATCCTCCAAAAGGTGGACGATAACATACATATTCCACACAAACTTAATAGACTATCATCCAGCTTTAGACCTTCTTTCTGAAGGTCTATAAAGTTGGGGGCTTGTGTTTGGTATTAAAAAACTGAATGTCGGCCAGGCGTGATGTCAGGTTCCATCTCAGCTCACTGTGACCGCCTCCCGGGTTCAAGTGATTCTCCTGCCTCGGCCTCCTCAGTAGCTGGGATTACAGGCACGCACCACCACACCGGGCTAATTTTTTGTATTTTTAGTAGAAACAGGGTTTTACCATGTTAGCCAGGCTGGTCTCGAACGCCCACCTCGGCTTTCCAAAGTGCTGGGATTACAGGTGTGAGCCACCGCGCCCGGCCGAAAACATCTTTTTTAAAAAAAAACAGGATCTCACTCTGTCACCTAGGCTGAAGTACAGTGTCGTGACCAACGCTCACTGTAGTCTCAACTTCCTAGGCTCACGTGATCCTCCCACCTCAGCCTCACAAGTAGCTGGGACTACAGGTGTGCACCACTATGCCCAGCTAATTTTTTAATTTTTTTTGTTGAGACGAGGTCTCACTATGTTGCCCAGGCTGGTCTTGAACTCTTGGGCTCAAGCAGTCCTCCCTACTTGGCCTCCTAAATTACTGAGTTTATAGGTGTGAGCCACTATACCCAGCCTCAAGCTTCTTTTTATATTGTGGGGTAAGGTCAGGAGTAACTGGTGACCACAGATATGTGGGCATCACCAGGGGTCCAAGAAGTTTGCAGAACTTCTTGTTCACAATCAGCTACTTGCCAGATGACATAAACCAGGCCACCTTGTGCCTATAAATCTTTAACATAACATCGTTACTTGTATGCATGCTTCCTTGTCCCCTCAGGGATCTGTTTCAAAAAAGAAATAGTGGCCCAGAGCAACGGCTTGTGCTTGTAGTCCCAGCATTTCAGGAAGCCAAGGCAGGTGGATCACTTGCAGTCAGGAGTTGCAGACCAGCCTGGCCAACACAGCGAAACCCTGTCTCTACTCAAAATACAAAAATTAGCCAGGCATCCGGGAGTGGTGGCGCATGTCTGTAATCCCAGCAACTCAGGAAGCTGAGGCACAAGAATCACTTGAACCCAGGAGGTGAGGGTTGCAGCGAGTCAAGATTTCACCACTGCACTCCAGCCTGGGATAGAGCAAGACTTTGACTCAGAAAAAAAAAAAGAAAGAAAGAAAAAGGAAAAGTTTTTTAAAAAAAAGAAATAGTCATCATATCTAAACTGTAAATTATTTTCTTTTCTTTTTTTTTCTTTTTTTGAGACGAAGTCTCGCTCCCAGGCTGGAGTGCAATGGCGCAATCTCAGCTCACTGCAACCTCCGCCTCCCGGGTTCAAGTGATTCTCCTGCCTCAGCCCCCCAAGTAGCTGGAATTACAGGCGCCTGCCACCACGCCTGGCTAATTTTTGTATTTTTAGTTGAGACGGGGTTTTACCATGTTGGCCAGGCTGGTCTAGAACTCCTGACCTCAGGTGATCCACCCACCTTGGCCTCCCAAAGTGCTGGGATTACAGGCATTAGCCACCACACCCAGCCTAAGCTATAAATTATTTTCATGATTATCTCGGCCTATGTGCAGGAATGAGCAAAGGCAGGTAGCTTGTGGGGTTAGAAGCAAGATGGAGATAGCTACCTTAGATTTCTCTGTTACAATATTATTTACTTGAAGCTCCAATTAATTGGAGTCCTGTTTTGTTTTTGCTTCTGTTTTAGAGACAGGATCTCACTATGTTGCACAGGTTGGCCTTGAACTCCTGGCTTCAAGTGATCCTCCTACTTCACACTCTAGTAGCTGGAATTACAGGCACATGACACCACACCTGGCTTGAAGTCCCGTTTTGTTTTGTTTGTTTTGTTTTGTTTTTTCAAGACAGGGTCCTGCTCTGTCAATCAGGCTGGAATCCAGTGGTACAAACACGGCTCACTGCAGCCTTGACCTTCCAAGTCACTGCAGCCTTGGCCTTCCAGGCTCAAGCAGTCCTTCCAAGTAGCTGTGACTACAGGTATACGCCACCACGCCCAGCTGTTTTTTTCCTTTTTTGCAGACACAAGGTCCCACTATGTTGCCTGGGCTGGTCTTGAACTCTTGGGCTCACCCTCCCACTTCGGCCTCCCAAAGTGCTGGGGCTATAGGTATGAGCCACTACACTTGGCAAAGTCCTGTACTTTTACTTGCTAAGTGGTTCATCCTCACACGGGGGGCAAAAATTGAGGAAAGGATTGCAAGACCTTGACTAGAGGATGCATCATCACATCAAAGAAGTCTATGAGAGGCCGAGGCCGGCAGATCACCTGAGGTCAGGAGATCGAGACCAACCTGGCCAACATGGTCTCTACTAAAATCCGTCTCTTCTAAAAATACAAAAATTAGCTGGGCATGGTGGCAGGCGCCTGTAATCCCAACTACTCAGGAGGCTGAGGCAGGAGAATCGCCTGAGCCCGGGAGGCAGAGGTTGCAGTGAGCCGAGATCACACCACTGCACTCCAGCCTGGGCGACAGAGTGAGACTCCATCTCAAAAAAAAAAGTATATATCCCTGAGTTTCTGAATAATCTCTGCATCTGCTCCCAACAAAGCCTGTCACGTAAAGGGCATCATCAGTCCAGATAGATCTACAAACAGCAGCAAAGACAATAAACTAGGTACGTTTAGTTATCCTTCAAAAGGCAGCTCAAATGTCACATCTTCGATGCTTAGCTAACTCTGCCCCAAGCCAAACAAACAGCTCCTCGCTTTGTGTTCTCCAAAGCTCAGTGTCCACGCTGTGAAGCCCGGGCAATCCAAACAGTGAGCCGTGGTTTATGGACCATCGAGGTGGTCGCTCTGCAGTTCTCTGAGCTCTCTGTGTGCAGAGCTCTCACTCTGTTCATCTTTGCAGCCACGGTGTCCGCCACGATGCCAGACTGCGGCCACAGAGGCTCTACAAATGTGTTGTTCAATGAACGAGGGAATAAAGAGTAACTGCTCCTGTTTTAGAAATGGAATAACCAAGGCCCGGAAGTATTAAATCTGATTCAACTTCCTTTTTTTTTTTTTGAGACGGAGTTTCGCTCTTGTTGCCCAGGCTGGAGTCCCAGTGGCGCCATCTCAGCTCGCCGCAACCTCCGCCTCCCGGGTTCAAGTGATTCTCCTGCCTCAGCCTCCCGAGCAGCTGGGATTACAGGCATGCACCACCACGCCCGGCTAATTTTTTGTATTTTTAGTAGAGACGGGGTTTCTCCATGTTGGTCAGGCTGGTCTCGAACTCTTGACCTCAGGTGATCCGCCCGCCTCGGCCTCCCAAAAGTGCTGGGATTACAGATGTGAGCCACCGCACCCGGCCCAACTTTCAATTTATACTTTTTTTATGTTTCTATGGGTCTACCACAAACAAGGAAAATGAATGATGCTTCAGAAGTTGGAATGAGAGACCTCGCTGTACAGTGATTGGAAGAGATACCTGCTATGACAGACATTGAACACCATTCTTTCTGGCCTGGGGCCAACACGGCATCAAAGGTGGCAGGTTTCCCTCCTCCACCCAGCTTCTGCCTTGTATGGCGGTGGAACGAGCCTTGGATGGAAAAATCTCCAACTTCTATTCTAACTCTGTGACTGTGGGCAAGTCATTTTGCCTTGGTTTTCTCCTTTTTCAACTGCCAAGGATGATCTAAACTAAGTAATCCCTAAAGTGCCTTGAACTTGCTTCCCTATTCAACAGCACTCGTTGAGGTCCTTCTGTACAGATCTCTCTGCGGATACAAAACAAGACCTAGTCCCTGACCTTCAGGAACTCACAGACTACTGGAAAGACAGAGAAGCAAAAAGCAAATGCCCTGAAGTGTGGCTGATACTTTGCGCACGCACGCACACACACACACACACACACACACAAAAGCAGTTATCACCATTTACTTTTCATTTACAATCACCATGTGCCAGTCACAGTCCCAATTCCCACTGCCACCTTGTGAAACAGTGTCATTTTAATCCTCATTTAGGGAAGTGAAATGACTTCCTCAAGGTCACTCGGCTAGTAAGTGTCCAGAGCTGCTATTGAAATAAATCTGTCTGACTCAAGAACTAGCCCTCGGCTGGGCGCTATGGCTCATGCCTGTAATCCCAGCACTTTGGGAGGCCGAGGCAGGCCTCCCAAAGGATCACCTGAGGTCAGGAGATTGAGACGAGCCTGACCAACATGGTGAAACCCCGTCTCTACTAAAAATACAAAAAAATCAGCCACGTGTGGTGGAGCGTGCCTGTAATCCCAGCTACTCGGGAGGCTGAGGCAGGAAAATAGCTTGAACCCGGGAGGCAGAGGTTGCAGTGAGCTGAGATCTCGCCATTTCACTTTAGCCTGGGCAACAGAGTGAGACTCCATCTCAAAAAAAAAAAAAAAAAAAAGAACTAGCCCTCTTGCAGCCATAAAAAAAGAATGGAATCATGGTCTTTGCAACAACATGGATGCAGCTGGAGGCCATCATCCTAAGCAAATTAATTCAGGAAGAGAAAACCAAAATGCCACATCTTACTTATAAGTGATAGCTAAATATAGAACACACATGGACATAAAGACAGAAACCACAGACACGGGGGTCTACTAGCGGGTGAAAGGAGGGAGGGTGGCGAGGGCTGAACAACTACCCATTGGACACTATGTTCACTGCCCGGCTGACAGGCCCAAGCACACCCCACAACTAGCATCGTGCAATACGCCTTTGTGACAGAACTTCACGTAACCTCAATTCCAAAATAACAGTTGAAAAAGAAAAAAAAGTAAAAAAGCAAAAATATTTTAAAACCGCTTTCAAAGAAAAAAAAAAAAAAAACTAGGCCTGCCTGTAATCCCAGCACTTTGGGAGGCCTAGGTGAGCGGATCACCTGAGATCGGGAGTTCGAGCCCAGCCTGACAAACATGGAGAAAACCCATCTCTACTAAAAATACAAAATTAGCCAGATGTGGAAGCACATGCCTGTGATCCCAGCTACTCAGGAGGCTGAGGCAGGAGAATCACTCAAACCCTGGAGGCAGAGGTTGCGGTGAGCCGAGATCGCACCATTGCACTCCCACCTGGGCAACAAGAGCGAAACTCCATCTCAGAAAAAAAAAAAAAAAAAAAAACTAGCCCCCATAGCCACTCGGCACACTACTTCTCAGTATGTGAAAAGATTCGGGGCAGTGCCAAGGAGGGCACAGGAAAAGTTTCTTTTTTTTTTTTTTTCTGAAACAAAATCTCGCTCTGTTGCCCAGGCTGGAGTACAGTGGCACCATCTCAGCTCACTGCAACCACCACCTCCCGGATTCAAGCGATTGTCCTCCTTCAGCCTCCCAAGTAGCTGGGACTACAGGCGCCTGCCACCATGCCCAGCTAACTTTTGTATTTTCAGTAGAGACAGGGTTTCACCATGTTGGCCAGGCTGGTCTCAAACTCCTGACCTCAGGTGATCCACCCGCCTTGGCCTCCCAAAGTGCTGCGATTACAGGTGTGAACCACCATGCCCAGCCAGGAAAGTTTCTTAAAGCATTTCTAAGTATAACACAAAATCCAGGAATTGTAAAAGTATTAAGAATTTAAATAAGAATTGGTATTGGTATCAAATATAGGGTTTACTATTTTTGTTTTGTTTTGTTTTGTTTTGTTTTGTTTTGTTTTGTTTTGTTTTCAGTAGAGCCGAGGTCTTGCTATGTTGCCCAGATTGGTCTTGAATTCCTGGCCTCAAGCAATCCTCCCACCTTGGCCTCCCAAAGTGCTGGGATTACAGGCCATTTTATTCTATGTAGAGCACTGTTCCAAATGCCTCAAATATATTATGCATTTAATCCTCACCAAAACCTTATGATTATACCCATTCTACAGATGAGGAAAATAAAATATAGAGAGTAAATTTCCAACATCACACAGCCTACTGCCTAACTGGAATTTGAACCAGAGGGCCTGGCTTCAGAACCTGTACTCCAATCCATTCTGCTATACTGTCAAAGTCAAAGGTAAAAGACAAATTGGAAGAAAAAAATTGAAATTCATATCACAAATAGCTAACCTTGCTAATATATTAAGGGCTCCCCCTAAGAAAAAAGGTCAACAACCCGGTAGAGAAATAAGCAAAGCATATGACTAGATTGTTCAATAAAATTAAGTACATAACAAGAAATATGCAGATTTTAACTCTACTGAGATACCATTTCTCACCTTCCAGATTGGCAAAAACCTAAAAGTTTGACAAAACATTCTGAGGCTATGGAGAAATGGACTCACATACATTTCTGGTGGGAATGAAAATCAGTACAAAATCTATGGAGGGCAATTTAAAATTACAAATCCATATACCCTTTGACCCAGCAATTCTATGTCTTGAAATTATTCTACAGACAAGTCACACATGCAAAATGACATTAATGTAAGGCTAATCATTGCAGCCTCCTTTGTGATTGCAAAGTCCTGGAAATAACCTAAATGTCCATCAATTGAGACAGGTTGAATAAATTTGATAAATCCAAATTACAGAATACTTTGCACTGTAAAAAGTTGAGGAAGCGGCCAGGTGCATTGGCTCATGCCTGTTATCCCAGCACTTTGGGAGGCCGAGGCTGGCAGATCACCTGAAGTCAGGAGTTTGAGAACAGCCTGGCCAACATGGCAAAACCCCTCTCTACTAAAAATGCAAAAATTAGCCAGGCATGGTGGCACATGCCTGTAGTCCCAGCTACTTGGGAGGCTGAGGCAGGAGAATCACTTGAACCTGGGAGGCAGAGGTTACAGTGAGCTGAGGTTGCACCACTGCACTCCAGGCTGGGAGACACAGCAAGGCTCCATCTCAAAATATATATATATATATATTGAGGAAGCTATGGATTGATATAAGATCATTTCAAAATACATTAAGATAAAAAAGCAATGTGCAGAACAATGTATATAATATATTATTCTTTTGGACAAGTGAGGTGGCGCACACCTGTAATCCCAGAACTTTGGGAGGCCAAGGCGGGCAGATCACCTGAGGCCAGGAGTTTGAGACCAGCTTGGCCAACACGGTGAAACCCCGTCTCTACTAAAAATACAAAAATTACCTGGATGTGGTGGCGCATGCCTGTAGTCCCAGCTACTCAGGAGGCTGAGGCAGGAGAGTCACTTGAACCTGGGAGGTGGAGGTTGCGTGAGCGGAGATCACACCACTGCACTCCAGCCTGGGCAACAGAGCAAGACTCTGTCTCAAAAAAGTAAATAAATAAAAATAAAAATAGGCCGGGCACAGTGGCTCACGCCTGCAGTCCCAGCACTTTGGGAGGCCAAGGCGGGCGGATCACGAAGTCAGGAGATCGAGACTATCCCGACCAACATGGTGAAACCCTATCTCTACTAACAATACAAAAATTAGCCTGGTGTGGTGGTGCATGCTGGTAATCCCAGCTACTCAGGAGGCTGAGGCACAAGAATCGCTTGACCCCAGGAGCTGAGATCATGCCACTGCAGTCCAGCCTAGCAACAGAGTAAATAAATAAATAAATAAATATAATAATAATATATTATTATATGTAATATAATAATATATTATTATATATTATATTATATGTAATATATTATATTATATATTATATTATATGTGATATATTATATTATATATTATATTATATGTGATATATTATATTATTATATATTATATGTGATATATTATATTATTATATATTATATTATATGTGATATATTATATTATTATATATTATATTATATGATATATTATATTATTATATATTATATTATATGTGATATATTATATTATTATATATTATATTATATGTGATATATATTATTATATATTATATGTAATATATTATATTATATGTAATATATTATATTATATTATATGTAATATATTATGTTATATTATATGTAATATATATAATATATATTTTATCATATATTTTATCATATAGTATATTTTATCATATATTTTATCATATTTCATCATATAACATATTTTATTATATATAATGTCATAATATATTTTATTATATATGTCATAATATATTTTATTACATATAATGTCACAATATATTTTATTACATATAATGTCACAATATATTTTATTACATATAATGTCACAATATATTTTATTACATATAATGTCACAATATATTTTATTATATATAATGTCACAATATATTTTATTATATATAATGTCACAATATATTTTATTATATATAATGTCATAATATATTTTATTATATATAATGTCAATATATTTTATTATATATAATGTCACAATATATTTTATTATATATAATGTCATAAGATATTATATATAATGTCATATTTTATTATATATGTCATAATATATTTTATTATATATAATGTCATAATATATTATTCTTCCATGTATATGTTGTTTTACGCAAAAAGCAGAGGAAAAATATATTTTGTATTGATTTGTATAGGCACAAAAATACCTTTGGGGCAAGATAGGAAGTGGGCATATGTGCGGTAGGGTAAGGATGGAGAAAAGAACTTCCCCATATACCTTTGGCTTTTTTTTTTTTTTGAGACAGAGTCTCACTCTGTCACCCAGGCTGGAGTGCAGTCGCATGATCATGGCTCACTGCAGCCTCGAACTGCTGGGCTCCAGTGATCCTCCCACCTCAGCCTCCCCAGGTGCTGGCACTACAGACATGTGCCACTACACCCTTGCAATTTTTTTTTTCACAGTGAAAGATTTTACTTTATTTTTTTTTACTTTCATCCAAACATACCCTTTTCTGAAAAACATAAAAGCATGCACATCAATGGCATCCCTGTAAAGAAAAAATAATAATTAAGCTGTAAATCAATAATAATAATACAAACTTTTAAATGATATGTGAAAAGATTTACAGGTAGTCATAGGGCTCTTAATTTTAGAAAATAATAATTCAAGTGAATATCAATACAGGTTAGGGAGAAGCTTTTTTTTTTTTTTTTTTTTAGATGGTGTCTCTCTCTTGTTGCCCAGGCTAGAGTGCAATGGTGCAATGGCACGATCTCGGCTCACTGCAACCTCTGCTTCCCAAGTTCAAGTGATCCTCCTGCCTCAGCCTCCTGAGTAGCTGAGATTACAGGCATGCACCACCACACCCCGCTAATTTTGTATTTTTGGTAGAGATGAGGTTTCTCCATGTTGGTCAGGCTGGTCTCAAACTCCCGACTTCAAGTGATCTGCCTGCCTTGGCCTCCCAAAGTGCTGGGATTACAGGTGTGAGCCACCGCTCCCAGCCTGCAAACATTTTGATACAAAATACTTTTCAGCAATAATATTTTATAGACCTTTTGTGAGAAGAATATTAGTATAGTCCTAAGAAATACAATATTCAAGTCTTTTTTTTTTTTTTTTTGAGATGGAGTTTCACTCCTGTTGCCCATGCTGGAGTGCAATTGTGTGATCTCGGCTCACCACAACCTCCGCATCCTGGGTTCAGGTGATTCTCCTGTCTCAGCCTCCCGAGTAGCTGGGATTACAGACATGCACCACCACGCTTGGCTAATTTTTTATATTTTTAGTAGAGATGGGGTTTCTCCATGTTGGTCGGGCTGGTCTCAAACTCCCAACCTCAGGTGATCTGCCCGCCTCAGCCTCCCAAAGTGCTGGGATTACAGGCATGAGCCACCACGCCTGGCCTCAAGTTATCTTACGCAGGTCAGGTACTGGTTACGCACGTCCGTGTAAAGAGACCACCAAACAGGCTTTGTGTGAGCAATAAAGCCTTTTAATCATCTGGGTGCAGGCCGACTGAGTCCAAAAAAGGAGTCAGCAAAGGGAGATGGGGTGGGCCAGTTTTATAGGATTTGGGTAGGTAGTGGAAAATTACAGTTAAAGGGGGTTTTTCTCTTGTGGGCAGGGGCAGGGGTCACCAGGTGCTTGGTGGGGAGCTCCTGAGACTCAGTCCAGGAGAAGGAATGTCACGAGGTCAGTTGTTCAGTTAGGGTGGAGCAGGAACAAATCACAAGGGTGGAATGTCATCAGTTAAGGCAGGAACTGCCTATTTTGCTTCTTTTGTGGTTCTTCAGTTGCTTCAGGTCATCTGGATGTATACATGCAGGTCACAGGGGTTATGATGGCTTAGCTTGGGCTTAGAGGCCTGACAGTGCCCTTGTTAAAATGAGTTAGAACCTACATAATCCCAGTAGCATTGCCTCTTTAAATGTACAGCATATCTATGATATTCAAAATAAACACAGACATGGGATTGATCTAAATTTTACTTTACAGGTAAAAGAAAATTACAATTCAGCATGAGAACATTCTTCATAAGTTTTACCTATGGCCCCAATGATAATTAGGCCAACTGTATCCTGAGTGTATATGAATGTGTGAATACATACACATACTAATGTATACAAACCAATTCACACAACACGACTCTCCAGAGATGTTGCTTGAAGCACCAGAGAGTAATTTCTTTATTTTTAGTTTTGAAGAGACAGGGTCTCACTAGGTTGCCCAGGCTGGTCTTGAACTCCTGGCCTCAAGTGATCCTTCTGCCTCAGCCTCCCAAAGTGCTGGGTTTACAGGTGGGAGCCACTACACCTGGCCGCCTTTTGTATTTTTTAAAGCTTGAAGCACATATGTGTATTACTTATTAAAAATTTAACAAAGAATTTTAAAAAGAGAAAGAAAGGCCTTTTAGAGGATAGGTCATTTTAGGACTCCCTGGTTCCAAGATATAACTCAATTGTCCTGTAATGAGATAGATACTTCCTGAATCTATTGGGGTTTAAGATTAAAAAAAAAAAAAAAAAAGACGTTCTCTTATTCAGACCCATTTATATAGTTCTCATTGCCTTTTCTCATTATGCTCCTGAGGCTCATTTGAAGCTAACACTCAAGCACCAGTGACATCTGGTAACATGGGTAACCCTGGGCAACCAGCTTCTCTCATAGTTGTCATAGCAACAATGATGTTCTGACAGCTGAGTTTTCATCGTGAAGTAATTATCAAGCTTTGGGGAGGGCTCCTCCATGTTTGCAGTTGTTTACGTCAATGAGGTTTATGAATGAACCTCAATTAGATGCAATTTTGATTGAAGTGTTAAGAGAGGCTGTGAATTGAGTCAGATTTACATATCCTTCCACCCAGCCTGGCAAATCTGGTGAATTGTAGGCCTGGTGCAATTCAGAGAGGGGGTGTGACTTGCACTTCAGCCATCAAAAGCCACTGGATATGCGAGGCTTGGTGGCTCATGCTTGTAATCCCAGCACTTTGGGAGGCTGAAGTGATCACCTGAGGTCGGGGGTTCGAGACCAGCCTGGCCAACATGGCGAAACTCCGTCTCTACTAAAAACACAAAAAAAGGCCAGGCACAGTGGCTCACACCTGTAATCCCAGCACTTTGGGAGGCCGAGGTGGGCGGATCACCTAAGCTCAGGAGTTCGAGACCAGCCTGACCAACATGGTGAAACCCTGTCTCTACTAAAAATACAAAAATTAGCAGGCATGGTGGCACACGCCTGTAGTCCTAGCTACAGGGGAGGCTGAGGCAGGAGAATCCCTTGAACCCAGGAGGCAGAGGTTGCAGTGAGCTGAGGTCACGCTACTGCACTCCAGCCTGGGCAACAGAGTGAGACTCCATTTCAAAAAAAAAAAAAAAATTAGCTGGCTGTGGTGGACATGCCTGTAATCCAAGCTACTCGGGAAGTTGAGGAATGAGAATCTCTTGAACCTGGGAGGCGGAGGCTGCAGTGAGCCGAGACTGCACCACTTCACTCCAGCCTGGGCAACAGAGCAATACTCTGTCTCAAAAATAAATAAATAAAAATGTTTTTTTAAAAAGCCACTGGAAGGCTGAAGACCTGGCACGTTCCAACCTGAGATGAACAGTTTCTTCTCTATCCTCTGTTCCCCCACCCAACCACAAGTAGCAGGAACAGACCCAGCAGGTCCTTGATTTCAACCCAGCATATAAAACAAAAGTTCTGATTTGTCAAAACTTTGTAAAACCCATATGTCTATATAATTAGCCCCATTTCACACTGGCGAAACCTCGGGTTTAGACTGCTCAGACTCTTTCCGCTGGACAGCAGTGAAGTCAGGACTCACAGCCACATCTCAGCTTCTTCCACTTCTGCCACCTGCTCAGAGCCAGGAATAAATATTTCTTTGGGTTATCTGGAAAGTGACACTGAGCCTTTCTTACGTCCACAAGCCTTTGTTAAAAGAACAAGTGCTTCTGCATCTATCAGCCAAAGTCAGTAGAAGTGGCTTGGTTCTGGCAGCCAAGAACCCAGCTTGTTGGTGACAAGCTCCTGGTGACACATATGAACTCTTAACCTCTGATTTGAGTGAGGAATTGTAACCAAGTGCCCCTCATTTTTCTAAGAGATAGTTTGTTTCTCTCCCTTCTTTTCTCATTCCCCTGGTTCCCCACTTCCCACTTAGTCCCTTAGAAATGCAAATATAGGCCAGGTGCGGTGGCTCACGCCTGTAATACCAGCACTTTGGGAGGCCGAGGCAGGTGGATCACCTGAGGTCAGGAGTTCGAGACCAGCCTGACAAAAATGGTGAAACCCTGTCTCTACTAAAAATACAAAAAATTAGCCAGGTGTGGTGGCGCATACCTGTAATCCCAGCTACTCAGGAGGCTGAGGAAGGAGAATCACTTGAACTCGGGAGGCGGACAGTGCGGTGAGCCGAGATTGCACCATTGCACTCTAGCCTGGGCATGAAGTGTGAAACTCCCTCTCAAAAAAAAAAAAAAAAATGTCCGGGCGCGGTGGCTCACGCCTGTAATCCCAGCACTTTGGGAGGTCGAGGCGGGCGGATCACGAGGTCAGGAGATTGAGACCATCCTGGCTAACACGGTGAAACCCCATCTCTACTAAAAATACAAAAAATTAGCCGGGCCTGGTGGCGGGCTCCTGTAGTCCCAGCTACTTGGGAGGCTGAGGCAGGAGAATGGCGTGAACCCAGGAGGCAAAGCTTGCAGTGAGCCGAGATCACGCCACTGCACTCCAGCCTGGGCGACAGAGCGAGACTCCTCCGTCTCAAAAAAAAAAAGAAAAAAAAGAAAAGAAAAGAAAGTTAACAGTAGCTTCAAACAATAGCCAAGGAAGTTAGAGTCACAAGGTGTTGGTTCCCTACGTAACAACTTAACATATGTCCCTGAGTTTTTCAGAACTCCCACCAAATGGATCCGCTGGCACGTAGACCTCAGCTAAGGGGCAAACTGAGGACTGCACTTTGACTACCATTCTTTGTCCTGAAGTTCTTCCTGAGAGGCCTGGAGGAAGTCACACCCACAAGGCAGTGCTCACATCTTCTGCTGCTGACCCCAGCTTTTTAAAGAAAGCTTCTCCTCCTCAACCAACTACAAATCAGAAAATCTTTGAATCTACCTAGGACCTCTAAGCACCACCCTCTAACCCTGCTTCGAGATATTCCATCTTCTAAGGCCAAACCAATGTATAATCTCCATGTATTCATTTACAATTTTGCCTGTAACTTCTCCTTTCCTGAAATTTTCCCCTGCTTTTAAAAACCTTTGCTTACAAGCCATCAGGAAGTTTGGATCTTAAGCATGAGCTGCCTGATTCTCCTTGCTTGGTGCCCTGCAATAAATGATTCACTTTCATTTGCTGCAATCCCAATATCACTGTTTCGCTTTGCTGCATACACACACACACACACACACACAAACCACAAAGAACGAAAGAAAAAACAGTGTAAAAAAATGTAAAATTTTTTTAAGAGAAAATCTAGCGTGTATATATTTTATATAATATTTTTGTTTAACTATATATACAGACATATATATGTTACATGTGTGTATTACATATATACATATGTTATATGTGTGTGTTACATATATACATATGTTATATGTGTGTTACATATATACATATATATGTTATATGTGTGTGTTACATATATACATATATATGTTATATGTGTGTATTATACATATTTTGGGGGCAAGGGGGTCTCGCTCTGTTGCCCAGGCTGAAGTACAGGGGTGCAATCATGGCTCACTGCAGCCTCAACCTCCCTGGCTCACTTAATCCTACTGCCTTAGCCTCCCAAGTATCTGGGACTACAGGCACACACCACTGCACCCAGCTAATTTTTGTTTATTTTTTTTTTGGTAGAGACGGGGTCTCACTATGTTTCCCAGATTGGTCTCAACTCCTGGCTCAAGCAATCCTCCTGCCTCTGCCTCCCGAAGGCTGGGATTACAGGGGTAAGCCACTATACTCGGCTGCAAATATATATATATTTTTGAGACAGAGTCTCGCTCTGTCTCCCGGGCTGGAGTGCAGTGGTGCGATCTCAGCTCACTGCAGCCTCTACCTCCTGGGTTCAAGTGATTCTCCTGCCTCAGCCTCCTGAGTAGCTGGGACTACAGGCTTGCACCACGACGCCCGACTAATTTTTGTATTTTTAGTAGAGACAGGGTTTCACCATGTTGGCCAGGATCGTCTCGATCTCTTGATCTCATGATCCGCCCGCCTCGGCGTCCCAAAGTGCTGGGATTACAGGCGCGAGCCACCGCACCCAGCAAGCTGCCAATATTTTTTAATTAAAGCTTTATTGGTAGCTTAAAGGTTTGTACACCTAGGCCAATGTACTATCGTTAGATTCAGGATAGACAAGAGTTAGGAAAAGGGAGATTATGAAAGAAGTGGGAAAGGAAACTGCAACTTTATCGCAGGAGAGTTCCCAAGGCAGATCAATTTTAGAAAAGAGTGCATATAAATATAGGAGATTTGGGCCAGGCGCTGTGGCTTATGCCTGTAATCCCAGCACTTTGGGAGGCTGAGGCAGGCAATTCACATAAAGCCAGGAGTTCGAGACCAGCCTGGCCAACGTGGCAAAACCCCGTCTCCACTAAAAATACAAAAAAAATTAGCCAGGTGTGGTGGTGGACACCTGTAATCCCAGCTACTCAGGAGGCTGAGGCAAGAGAATCACTTGAATCTGGGAGGTGGAGGTTGTAGTGAGCCAAGATCACGCCACCACACTACACCCTAGGTGACAGCAAGACTGTCTCAAAAAAAAAAAAAAGGAGATTTGGAAATGTATTTCCTTAAAACAAATCCACATACACCTTGCAGAATGCATACACATAAATACTCCAATTTGAAGATGCTGATCTAAAACATTCTAAGGTCTATCTGAAAGAACTTAGAAATTCATTAATCTTAAATTTTATTTAGTATGTACCTCAGAATAACTAAGGTAACCACCAAAAGAATAGATATTCTTATAGAGACATAGAATAGTTATTCTAAGAAGAAAAAACTAGAAGAAGAGGAAAAACAAAACCATTAATCAGCCAAGAGGTAGGTGGTGGTGGAAGAGAAGAGCAAACAGAAAAAGCAGAAGAAATACAATAGACTATAATAAGGTGGTAGAAAATAAATCCAAATAAATCAACAATTGCAGTAAACTTAAAGGGAAAAACTTTCAAATTAAAAGGCAAAGATTTTTCAGACTAGACTTTTTTTAAGTTAGATATAGCTGCTATTTTAAAGAGAGGCCACACACACACACAGAGAGAGAGAGAGAAATAAAAAGAGAGAAAGAGCGAGAGAGAGAGAAAGAAAAGCCGGGCACTGTGACTCACGCCTGTAATCCCAGCATTTTGAGAGGCCAAGGCAGGCAGATCACTTGAGGCCAGGAGTTCAATTATCAGCCTGGCCAACGTGGTGAAACCCCATCCCTACTAAAAATACAAAAATTAGCTGGGCGTGGTGGCACGTGCCTGTGATCCCGGCTACTTGGTAGGCTAAGGCAGGAAAATCGCTTGAACCCAAGAGGCGGAGGTTGCAGAGAGCTGAGATTGCACCGCAGCACTCCAGCCTGGGTGACAGAGTGAGACACCATCTCAAAAAAACAAAAAAAAGAAAGGATGGGAGGGGAGGGAAGGAAGACACAGACACACAGAAAAGTCAAGGGTGTCAAGATTGAGAATATTATAGCAGGCTAATACTAACTAAAAGAAAGTTTATATTGCTACATTATCAAACAAAACAGGCTGCAAAACAAAGAGAATTACTAGCAATGACAAGGAAACAACATAATAAAAGGTTCTACTCATCAGAAAGAAGTGAGTCTAACTTTTAACGCACATAAAGCAAAAATTAACATAGCTGCAAGGAGAACTTGATAAATCCACCATCATAATGGGAGATTCTAACACTCCTCTCCCAGTAATAGATCGATAGATCTGACAAAGAAAGAGCGAGAATATAATAAGACTCAGGCTGAGCACAGTGAATCACCCCCGTAATCCCAGCACTTTGGGAGGCCAAGGAAGGAGGATCACTTGAGCCCAGGAGTTCAAAACCAGCCTGAGCAACATGATGAAACCCTGTCTTTACAAAAAATAAAAAAATTAGCTAGGTGTAGTGGTGTGCCCCTGTAGTCCCAGCTACTTGGGAGCCTGAGGTGGAAGGATCACTTGAGCCGGGGAGGTCAAGGCTGCAGTGATCCATAATCCTGCCGCTGCACTCCAGCCTGAATAAAACCCTACCTCAAAAAAAAAAAAATATAGTAAGGCTCATAAGAATAAAGATAATAAAGATGGTACCATTAGCAAACTTGCCCATTAGACACCTGTGGAACACAATAGCCTACAAGTGGAAAATGCACACTGTTTTCAAGAACACAGAGAACCTTTACAAAAAGTAACCCCATGCTAGACCTGTAAGGTCTGCTCAAAGAAGATGTCAAACGATTGACATTATGCAGACTTCATAGTCTGACCACAATGCAGTTAACAATTACACGAAAATAGCAAGAAAAAAACCCATATGACTGGAAATTTCAAATACATTTCCAGATAACGCATGGATCAAAGAAGAAATCATAATAGAAATTTCAAAATATTTAGAACGGAACCACGACAAAATAACTACATTCGGAGATGACTGGCTTATCACAAAAATATCCCTTAGAGAAAAGTTTGCAGCCTTAAAAAGTTTCCATTAAAAAATTAAAAAGTCGCAAAACGAATGCGTTAAACCCCTAATTCAAGGTGCCTGGAAGGGTCTACTTCTCATCCCTCTTGCCTCCTCACTTCTCCCTGAATCTCCCACCTTATTCACACTCCTTCCTCCTCCGATTTCATGTACTTCCTGAGTTTTTCCCATGTGCCAGGCACTACCCAGGCACTACCACCTCCCCCACCATCTTCATCATCAATTCTCTGCAATTGTTCAGATTTCTCTTCTGCATGTGATGGTAACTCCTGGGGTATTCAGTACCCAACATAACCCCCTTTGCACTCATTCATTCAACAGTAACAAACACCTGTTGACTCTCAGCTCTATACCAAGGTGGGCTGGATGCTAGGAACATGGAGACCAAGAACAAAAGCCCCGTTATTGCCCTAGAGCAGCGTTCTCACAGTGTGGTCCCCAGACCAGCACCATCAGCATCAGCTGGGAATCTTCTGAGACATGAAGTTCTCAGGCTCCACCCCACACCTACTGAATCAGAAGCTCTGGAGTGGCGCCCAGCACTCTGGGCTTTAACAAACCCCTGGATACTGATGCTCACTAGAAGAGTTTGAGAATCACTGGCCAGAGGAGTTGGCAATACAACAAATACAAGCAAGCAATTATAATGCAGTGGGTAGAAGGAGCCACCAAAATGTCCATCACAAGGAACCACGAAAGCCTTAGAGGGTCACCTGCTCTGACCTACAGTGAAAGGCCCCCCTACCCCCACCTAAGCCGGGCTCTGAGAAATAGTTCACCAGGCAATGTGGGACAGTGAAGAACATCCTAGCAGTTGAGGAAAATAAAAGGTAAGGCCAGAAATAAAGAAAACTATAATGTGCTCAGAAAACTTAGAGTCATTAGGAAGCTGGAGACATTACTATGAAGGTGTGGGCACGTGAAGAAATGAGAACAGAGATGGGACAGGGATCAGATCCTGAAAACCATCATACCTGGTGAGGAGTTTGTGTTGAGGATGTAACTGAGAAGGAGCTGCAGAAATGTTGGCCACTACCAGTGACATCCACGGTCATCACAGCTCCGTTGATGACAGAACAGAACTCCCAAGCAGTGTCTTCTGGGAAACAGGAACATAATGAGTATATTACCTTTTTATTAAGTTGGAATATCTGAAACAGAAAAGTTATTTGTCACAAATGTCCAAAGCACATAGGAGTCACTCACCTGTCTGCCGTGGTGTGGATGTGCCAGCATGAATTTACAGTCAGCTGAGTGACAGGAGAAGGACCATTTTATAATCTCATAGCTTTGAATGGGGTGTGATATGGTTTGGCTCTGTGTCCCCACCAAATCGCATGTTGAACTGTAATTCCCAATGTTGCGAGAGGGAGCTGGTGGGAGATGATTAGATCATGGGTGGATTTCCCTTTTGCTGTTCTTGTGATAGTGAGTTTTCATGAGATCTGGTTGTTTGAAAGTGTGTAGCACTTCTCCCTTCACTCACTCTCCCGCCTACTGCCATGTGAAGACGTGCTTGCTTCCCCTTCATCCTTCCACCATGATTGTAAGCTTCCTGAGGCCTCCCCAGTCACACCTCTTGTACAACCTGTGGAACTGTGAGTCAATTAAACCTCATTTCTTTTGGTTTTTGTTGTTGTTGTTGTTTTGAGATGGAGGCTCACTCTGTCGCCAGGCTAGAGAGCTGTGGCGCAATCTCAGCTCACTGCAACATCCAACTCCCCGGTTTAAGGGATTCTCCTGCCTCAGCCTCCCCAGTAGCTGGGATTACAGGCATGCGCCACCACATCCAGCTAATTTTTATATTTTCAGTAGAGATGGGGTTTCACCATGTTGGCCAGGATGGTCTCGATCTTCTGACCTCCTGATCCGCCTGCCCTGACTTCCCAAAGTGCTGGGATTGTGTCTGGAGTTGGTTCCTTCTGGTGGGTTCGTGGTCTCGCTGACTTCAAGAACGGGGCCGCGGACCTCCGCGGTGAGTGTTACAGCTCTTAAAGGCGGCACGGACCCAAAGAGTGAGCAAGATTTATTGTGAAGAGCGAAAGAACAAAGCGTCCACAGCTTAGACGAGGACCCAAGCCAGGGGCTGCTGCTGGTTGGGGTGGCCAGCTTTTATTCCCTTATTTGTCCCCGCCCATGTCCTGCTGGTTGGTCCACTTTACAGAGTGCTGATTGGTCCATTTTACAGAGTGCTGATTGGTCCATTTTACAAACCTCTAGCTAGCCACGGAGTGCCGATTGGTGTGTCTTTACAGAGCACTGATTGGTGCATTTTACAATCCTCTTGTAAGACAGAAAAGCTCTCCAAGTCCGACCCAGAAGTCCAGCTGGCTTCACCTCTCAGGATTACAGGCATGAGCCACCACGCCAGGCCAAACCTCTTTTCTTTATAAATTATCCAGTCTCAGGTAGTTATTTATAGCAATGTGAGAATGAACTAATACAGGGTGAAATCCAGCTCAAAGCTGAGCTGATATTCTTACACTGCTCAAACACCAATGAGACTATGATGAAAATGATAGTGATTAACTCAAATAGATGCTTTAGTAATCAATAAACATCCACTCTGCAGGAAGGCCCATCCATCGCCCCCTGAGCTAGAGACACTGTCCCCTTTGGATCCAGACATAAGTATGTATTAGGACAAAGCTATCAAACTCATCTTTTCTTTTTTTGAGACGAAGTCTTGCTCTTGTCCCCAGGCTGGAGTGCAATGGCGCAATGTCGGCTCACTGCAACCTCTGCCTCCTGGGCTCAAGCGACTCTCCTGCCTCAGCCTTCCAAGTAGCTGGGACTAGAGGCGCCTTCCACCACGCCCGGCTAATTTTTGTATTTTTAGTAGAGACGGGGTCTCACCGTGTTAACCAGGACGTTCTCGAACTCCTGACCTCCTGATCCACCCACCTCGGCCTCCCAAAGTGCTGGGATTACAGATGTGAGCCACCGCGCCTGGCCTGTCAAATTCATCTTAAAGCGCTTTTCCTTGCTGCTATAGACAGTTTAGAAGAAACGGAAACTCAGAAGCTTGCACTTGAGCAGCTGCTAAGAGAAATTGTATAAAAATGAGATTTTGCCCTTAAATGCATTTGTATGGGGCATTTTCAGGTCAATTTCTGAATACTAAAAAGATCTAATCACTACATTGTGAATAAGATACAGTTATTTAAAAATCCCTGGAGCAGTCAAAGACTCAGACTGATGGTTAACCTTTCCTGAGAGTCAAGAAAATTAACCAACCAAGTTTAATTTAATTTAGGGTTTTTCTTACTGACTTAATATTTATTTCTAGGCCACAAAGCCTCCCTCTCTGTGTAAAATCGGGCAAAAATTAATCACTTCTCCCACCGGACAGGTTATTTGCATTCTTTTCAACATTATTTTAAAATAGGAAATACATAGCGCCTGGCACAAAATGTGAAAGATACAAAAGAACATACAGAAAATAGCACATCAGACTGGGCACTGTGGCTCACGCTTGTAATCCCAGCACTTTGGGAGGCCAAGACAGGCGGATCACTCAAGGTCAGGAGTTCAAGACCAGCCTGGCCAACATGGCTAAACCCTGTCTCTACTAAAAATACAAAAATTAGTTGGGTGTGGTAGTGCGCATGCCTGTAATCCCAGCTACTAGGGAGGCTGAGGCAGGAGAATCACTTGAACCTGGGAGGCAGAGGTTGCAGTGAGCCAAGATTGCGCCATTGCATTCCAACCTGGGCTACACAGCGAGACTCGGTTTCCAAAAAAAAAAAAAAAAATTGGTCGGGCATGGTGGCTCACATCTGTAATCCCAGCACTTTGGGAGGCCGAGGTGGGTGGATCACCTAAAGTGAGGAGTTCAAGACCAGCCTGGCCAACATGGTGAAACCCCATCTCTTACTAAAAAAAAATATAAAAATTAGCCAGGTGTGGTGGTGCACACCTGTAATCCCAGCTACTTGGGAGGCTGAGGCAGGAGAATCGCTTGAGCCTGGGAGGCAGAGGCTGCAGTGAGCTGAGATTGTGCCTCTGCACTCCAGCTTGGGTAACAGAGCGAGACTCCATCTCAAAAAAAAAAATGGTTAAGATAGCCGGGAGCAGTGGCTCACACCTGTAATCCTCCCAGCCTTTTTGGGGGTCGAGGCAGGTGGATTACATGAGGCCAGGAGTTCAAGACCAGTCTGGACAACATGGTGAAACCCTGTCTCTACTAAAAATACAAAAATTAGCTGGGCGTGGTGGTGCACACCTGTAATCCCAGCTACTCAGGTGGCTGAAGCAGGAGTATCAGTTGAACCCAAGAGGCAGAGGCAAGACTAAAAAAAAAAAAAAAAGATGCCAAGCGAGGTGGCTCATGCCGGTAATCCCAGCATTTTGAGAGGCCAAGGCAGGTGGATCACCTGAGGTGGGGAGTTTCAGACCAGCCTGACCAACATGGAGAAATCCCGTCTCTACTAAAAATACAAAACTAGCCGGGCGTGGTGGCGCATGGCTGTAATCCCAGTTACTCGGGAGGCTGAGGCAATATAATCACTTGCACCAAGGAGGCAGAGGTTGCAGTGAGCCGAGATCATGCCATTGCACTCCTACCTGGGCAACAAGAGCAAAACTCCATCTCAAAAAAAAACAAAAAAAGGTTAAAAAAATTGTTAAGATGGCCAATTGTATGTTATATGTATTTTACTACAGCTTTTTAAAAATCAATTTCCTGTATACTTATTTATTCATTCATGCATTTGTTCAATCATTCAATAAAACTATATGTGCCAGAATCACACAGAGATTTATGTAAAGACTTATCTGTGGACTAAGAAAGACAAAAGGAAATTAAATAGGCAAAGAAATGACATGAGGACATTATAGGCATTAAGTTCAGGATGTGGAAAACCAAAAAAGCTGAACCAGAGATAAGACGAAGTGAACAGAGACCAGAGGTAAAGACCTCAGGTACCCTGCTAAAGAAGAGATTCTATTCTCTAAGAAGCAAGAGCAACTAAAGATGTATGTAGCACACAGACCTCCTATCCTGTGTTTTAGGTGGGCTCTGGCTTCCACTTGGAAACTGGATTAGAGGGAGCCAGGTAGAAAGCCAGAAGGAGAGGAGACAGGAACCACAACCCTGGCAGGGCGATGACAGCCTCCATCACAGGTCGCAAACGCACATACCTACACAGGCTAGCCAAAGACATCTCCAAAGTACAACCACTCAGGCCTGTGGCAGTCTGAGATCTCTCACCTGGCCATAGTGGACATTTATTAGGGCTTCCAGAATATGAAGAGGAACCAGACACAGATCCATAGGTGAAAGGGGACTCACCATTGCCTCTTACACTGACCGCTGCCCAATTTTTGTCATGCTGGATAAAACATGAGGCAAACTGCCGGGCACGGTGGCTCACGCCTGTAATTCCAACACCTTGGGAGGCAGAGACAGGAGGATCTCCTGAGCCCAGGAGTTCAAGACCAGCCTGGGCAACATGGGGAGACTCCGTCTCTATTTTTTTTTTTTAACAACAACAAAAAAGACATGAGGCATAGAGACTAAAGCAGAAAAGAAATCCTTCTCTCCTGCTTTCTTTCAAAGGGGGAACAAGTAACAGGGAGGCTACCTCAATTTTTACCTCTCCAGAAAAAGACAGGAAGCAGGACACAGGCTACTGTAAGTCAGGGCATAATTCATTGCTCTGATGGTTCTCCAAGTGCCATCCCTGAGCCAGCAGCATTCACATCCCCCAGGAGCTTGTTAGAAACTCAAATTCTCGCCAGGCGCAGTGGCTCACACCTGTAATCCCAGCACTTTGGGAGGCCAAGGCAGACGGATTACCTAAGGTCAGGAGTTCGAGGCCAGCCTGGCCAATATGGTGAAACCCTGTCTCTACCAAAAATACAAAAATTAGCCACGCGTGGTGGCAGACGCCTGTAATCCCAGTTAATTGGGAGGCTGAGGCAGGAGAATTTCTTGAGCCCGGGAGACAAATGTTGCAGTGAACTGAGATCGTGCCACTGCACTCCAGCCTGGGCAATAGAGCAAGATTCTGTCTAAAAAATATATATATATATATATTAGGCCTGGCCCCAGCCCTACTGAATCAGAATCTCTGGGGATGGAGCTTAGGAATCTGTGCTTTAACAAGCACAGATGTAAGTTCAAGTTTAAAACTGCTGGGCCTGGTGGATCACTGCTGTAATCCCATCACTTTGGGAGGCTGAGGCAGGCAGATGACTTGAGGTCAGGAGTTTGAGACCAGCCTGGGCAACGTGGTGAAACCCCTTCTCTACAAAAAATTAGCCGGGCATGGTAGCATGACCTGTAGTGCCAGCTACTCTGGAGGCTGAGGTGGGAGGATTGCTTGAGCCTGGGAGGTGGAGGTTGCACTGCACTCCAACCTGGATGACAGAGGGAGACGCTGTCTCAAAAAAAAGGTTTAAAACCACTCCTCTTTATAATATAGTGTACATGCCACTTATGGCATGCTCCCTGATCTTCTACCCGACTTACCTGTTAAAACTAATGCTCAGGCTCCTTTGAATTTACTCTTGGTAAAAAAAAAATTGCCTGGCGGGGAGCAGTGGGGCATGCCTGTAAGCCCAACACTTTGGGAGGCCAAGGCAGGTGGATCACCTGAGGTCAGGAGTTCCAGACCAGCCTGGCCAACATGATGAAACCCTGTCTGTACTAAAAATACAAAAAAAAAAATTAGCTGGGCTTGGTGCCATGCACCTGTAATCCCAGCTACTCAGGAGGCTGAGGCAGGAGAACTGCTTAAACCGGGGAGGCAGAGATTGCGGCGAGCAGAGATCACGCCACTGCACTCTAGCCTGGGTGACAGAGTGAGACTCTGTCTCAAAAAAAAAAAATTGCCAAATTTATCTCCTCACCAAAAATTTAAAAATTTACTTGTGTGAACGTGTCACAAACACATAAAGCAAAGTACACCTGTCTCATGCATTTTATGTATATTCCATCTTATTTCATAAAACCTTTGAGGTGGTTGGTGTACAGGTAATGAATGTTTACCTTAGATTTCAAATGCACTTTATGAAGACTGTTAAAATGTTTAATCTGTAGAAGATCCAGAAGTTTGTAGGGACTTGGAGACCAGAGCTTTCTAGTCCACAAAGTCAAAAAGCCTAGGAAACATACACCAAGAGAAACCATCTATAAGAAGCCAGGCAGAGGCCGGGCGTGGTGGCTCACACCTGTAATCCCAGCACTTTGGGAGGCAGAGGCAGGCAGACCACTTGAGGTCAGCAGTTCCAGACCAGCCCAGCCAACTTTGTGAAACCCCGTCTCTACTAAAAATACAAAAGTTAGCCAGGCGTGGTGGCACACGCCTGTGGTCCCAGCTATTTGGGAGGCTGAGGCAGGAGAATCACTCGAACCCGAGAGGCAGAGGTTGCAGTGAGCCGAGATCACAGCACTGCACTCCAGCCTGGGTGACAGAGAGCGACTCCATCTCAAAAAATAAAAATAAAATAAAGAAGCCATACAGAAATCCTGTGTATCCAGGTGTCCTGGGGTCTTCAAGGTGAGGGCACTCAGTGGTCCTCTGTTGTTATATAAGAAAGAATGTGAACATTTTACTGAAATTTTAAGAACCACCTATTTTTCTCCCTGTTTACAAAATATGTCGGCTGGGCATGGTGCCTCATGCCTGTAATCCCAGCACTCTGGGAGCCAGAGACAGGCAGATCACTTGAGGTCAGGAGTTTGAGACCAGCCCGGGCAACATGGCAAAACCCCCGTCTCCACTAAAAATACAAAAATTAGTCACGGCACACGCCTGTAATCCCAAATACTGGGGAGGCTGAGGCACGAGAATCACTTGAGCCTGGGAGGCAGAAGTTACAGTGAACCAAGATCCTGCCACTGCACTCCAGCCTGGGGGATAGCGAAAGACTCTGTCTCAAAAAACAAAAACAAAACAAAATATATCTGTTGCCATTAAGGAGCGTTTTGTTCTGGCCCTCTCCAACTACTTGAGCCCAGGATTTTGAGACCAGCCTGGACAATATAGCAAGATCTACAAAAATTAAAAATTAGGCAGGCATGGTGGCACACACCTGTAGTCCTAGCCACTCAGGAGGCTGAGTGGGGAGAACCGCTACAGGCTGGGAATTCGAGGTTACCATGAGCTATGATCATGCCACTGCACTCAAGCTCTGGGCAACGGTGACAGAGCAAGACTCTTTTAAAAAAAAAGAAAAAAACAGGTGGCTGGCTGGGCGCGGTGCCTCACGCCTGTAATCCCAGCATGTTGGAAGGCCGAGGCAGGCGGATCACGAGGTCAGGAGATCGAGACCATCCTGACTAACACGGTGAAACCCCGTCTTTATTGAAAATACAAAAAATTAGCCGGGCGCCTGTAGTCCCAGCTACTTGGGAGGCTGAGGCAGGAGAATGGTGTGAACCTGGGAGGCGGAGATTACAGTGAGCCCAGACTGCGCCACTGCACTCCAGCCTGGGCGACAGAGCGAGACTCCGTCTCAAAAAAAAAAAAAAAAAAAAAAAACAGGCGGCCTCTGGCGGGCCTCCAGCCAGTTAGACCATTTGACTAGGACGTGTGCAGCTCAGCCAGCCACAGAACTGGAATTTTTCAGGAGCAGGGGGAGCATGGAGTTTGGACTTTGCTGAGCAACTGAAGTGGAGCGCAGAGCTTGCTCGCTTAGGAGAGGGCAGCATGGATGGCAAACAAGGGGGCATGGATGGGAGCAAGCCCACGGGGCCAAGAGACTCTCCTGACACCAGGCTTCTTTCAAACCCATTGATGGGTGATTCTGTGTCTGATTGGTCTCCTATGCCTGAAGCTGCAATCTACGGACATCAGCTGTCTCTGAGGAACCTCATCAGCCACGGGTGGCTTGTGAACATCATCATGGCAGATCATGTTTCCCCACTCCATGAAGCCTGTCTCAGAGGTCATCCCTCTCGTGTAAAGATTTTATTAAAGCATGGAGCTCAGGTGAATGGCGTGACAACAGACTGGCACACTCCACTGTTTAATGTTTGTATCAGCAGCAGCTGGGATTATGCTTCTGCAGCATGGAGCCAGCGTTCAACCTGAGAGTGATCTGGCATCCCCCGTCCATGAAGCTGCTAGGAGAGGCCACGTGGAGTGTGTCGACTCTCTTACAGCTTATAGGGGCAAAAATGACCATAACATCAGCCACGTGGGCACTTCACTGTATTTGGCTTGTGAAAACCAGCAGATAGCCTGTGTCAAGAAGCTTCTGGAGTCAGGAGCAGACCTGAACCCAGGGAGAGGTTCCCCACTTCATGCAGTGGCCTTCATGAAGGCCCTCATGAAGGATTCCCCACTTCATGCAGTGGCCAGGACAGCCAGTGAAGAGCTGGCCTGCCTGCTCATGGATTTTGGAGCAGACACCCAGGCCAAGAATGCTGAAGGCAAATGTCATGTGGAGCTGGTGCCTCCAGAGAGCCCTTTGATCCAGCTCTTCTTGGAGAGAGAAGGGCCCCCTTCTTTTGATGCAGTTATGCCTAGAAATCAGAAGGGCTTTGGAATCCAGCAGCATCATAAGATAACCAAAGTCGTCCTCCCAGAGGATCTGAAATGGTTTCTCCTACATCTTTGTATGTATCAATGGAATGGATTCACAAACAATGTGAAAACATTATTGAGTGTTGTAGCCACTAGAATTTTAAAATCAAGTTAGGTTTATAGAGTTTGACTAGTTTTTTCGATTAGATTTGTATTAGTTATAAATTTGTTCATAGAGTTTGACTAATTTTTTCGATTAGATTTGTATTTGTTAAACTCTGAAGCCAGAGTTTAAACACACTGCATACGTTTGTATGATTAGTTAGAAGGCATGAAGACTTTTTTCCCTGCTTGGAGACTGTCTAAAATAACAGCTATTGTTTTGCATATCCACTGCAGGCCAAGCACTTTCAGCATCATCTAATTCAGCCCTCACAGCAACTGGGTCAATCTGTCCAATTTCCCAGGGCAAGGATAGAGGAGTCAGATTCAAATACAGGTTTTCTGACGTTAACTTATGTGATGATTTGATCAAAGCAGGATTTTCCAGCATCACTATCCTTGTTCCATCTCTGCTATATGGGAATGAAAATAAAGAAATGTATTTCAAAAAAATAAAAAGAAAAGAAAAACAGAGACGGTCTCCTGGAGTTGAATTCAGGTCTCCTCCTTAGATGGTGACCATGGGAAAGCAGCTTACACTCCCTTTGCTGGCGTAACCAGCAGGTACTGCTGTAAACTTCCTGGTACAATACCTGAAACAAGGCAAACACTCAACAGATATCTTGCATATATTGATTCCCTTCTCTGCCAGTACAGTAACATCATTGAGAATGGACCCAGCAGTATAATAACATCAGTCACCACTAGATGGCAGTAATGGCACTAAGTAATTAGTTATTAAGATGTCCTTTTTAACAAAATGAAGTAGCTAAACAACTACAAAAAAAAGACTGGTCCCTCTTAGACCTAAGTATTATTTCTATTACCTAGCTTTTACTCATTATTTCATTCAGCAAATATGTATTCAATGCCTACTATGTGTCAGGCACCACAGCAGGCAGTTAGGATACTAGGCTCAGCCAAGGAAGACACAGTACCTGCGCACACAGACCTTAAGGGGTAGGTAGGAAAACGGACAAAGAATCACACCAGTAAGATACCACAGCATAGTAAGTGCTGTGAGAGTACATAAGGAAGAAGCAGCCTGATGCGGGGAAAGGAAGGTGTCCCTGAGAAGCAGATGAGAAAAAGATGAAGGAGCCAAGATCCAAGGCAGATAGACGAGAGGTGAGGGGTGGAAACGGGGTCCCCAAGAAGAGCTTGCCAAAGGCTCAGGAGCAGGCTGGGGCCTGCTGCTGGAGGGACATGCAGAGGCCAGGGCTTGCATGCCTCAGGAGCCTTATTCAAGTTGGGAAGTTTTGTCTTTTTTTTTTTTTTTTCTTAAAAAAAAAAAGGCCTGGCGCGGTGGCTTACGCCTGTAATCCCAGCACTTTGGAAGGCTGAGTCAGGTGGATCACGACGTCAGGGGTTCAAGACCAGCCTGGCCAAGACGGTGAAACCCTGTCTCTACTAAAAATACAAAAAAATTAGCTGGGCGTGGTGGCAGGCACCTGTAATCCCAGCTACTCCGGAAGCTGTGGCAGAGAATTGCTTGAACCCAGGAGTCGGAGGTTGCAGTGAGCCGAGATCGTGCCACTGCACTCCAGTCTGTGCGACAGAGTGAGACTCCGTCTCAAAAAAAAAAAAAAGAGAGAGAGAGAGGCAGGCCAGGTGCGGTGGCTCACACCTGTAACCCCAACACTTTGGGAGGCCGAGGCAGGCAGATCACTGGAGGTCAGGAGCTTGAGACAACATGGTGAAACCCCATCTCTACTAAAAATACAAAAATTAGGCCGAGTGTGGTGGCTCACACCTGTAATCCCAGCACTTTGGGAGACTGAGGCGGGTGGATCACTTGAGGTCAGGAGTTCAAGACCAGCCCAGCCAACATGGCAAAACCCTGTCTCTACTAAAAATACAAAATTAGCCAGGCTGGTGGAGCGTGCCTGTAATCCCAGCTACTCGGAAGGCTGAGGCAGGAGAATCACTTGAACCCAGGAGGCGGAGGTTGCAATGAGCCAAGATTGTACCACTGGACTCCAGCCTGGACAAAAAGACCAAAACTTGGTCTCAAAATAAATAAATAAATAGATAAATTAATAAAAATACAAAAATTAGCTGGGCATGGTGGTGCATGCCTGTAGTCCAAGCTACTTGGGAGGCTGAGGCACAAGAATCACTTGAGCCTAGGAGGCGGCGGTTGCAGTGAGCCGAGATCGTGCCATTGCACTCCAGCCTGGGAGACAGAGCAAGACCCTGTCTCAAAAAAAAAAAAAAAAAAAAGAATGTTAAAGAAAAATTATTATTTATGACATTTGTTAAAAGGTGCTAAGGCAGACTTTATCCAAAAGGGGCCACAGTGATAGGTGTAGGGACCACTGCCACAGGGTCTTGCAGTGGGGACGAGAGATTGGACTCAACCCTGACTTCAACAAAGACAAGGGGAGATTTATACCCAAGGAGCACGATCTCAGCTCACCACAACCTCTGCCTGCCAGGTTCAAGCAATTCTCCTGCCTCAGTCTCCCACACACCCAGGTAATTTTGTATTTTTAGTATAGATGAGGTTTCAACATGTTGGTCAGGCTGGTCTCGAACTCCTGACCTCAAGTGATCCACCCACCTCAGCCTCCCAAAGTGCTGGGATTACAGGCATGAGAAGCCACGCCTGGCCTCAGATGAGACTCTTGTAATGCTTTTGTTTTTGTTTTCGTTTTTGTTTTTGAGATGGAGTCTTGCTCTGTCGCCGAGGCTGGAGTGCAGTGGCACGATCTTGGCTCACTGCAACCTCTGCCATCCCAGTTCCAGCGATTCTCCTGCATCACCCTCCCGAGTAGCTGGGATTATAGGTGTGTCTCACCACGCCCAGCTAATTTTTGTATTTTTAGTAAAGACAGGGTTTCAGCATCTTGGCCAGGCTAGACTTGAACTCCTGACCTCATGATCCACCGGTCTCAGCCTCCCAAAGTGCTGGGATTACAGGCGTGAGCCGTTGCACCCAGCCCGAGACTCTTGTAATGTTTTAATAGGCTTCAAATGTTTCTAAATAAGAAATATTAGGGCATATAAAAATAGAAATACCAGGCCAGGGGGCCGTGGCTCACGCCTATGACCCCAGCACTTTGGGAGGCCAAGGCGGGTGGATCACCTGAGGTCGGGAGATCGAGATCAGCCTAACCAACATGGAGAAACCACATCTTTACTAAAAATACAAAATTAGCTGGGCGTGGTGGCAGATGCTTGCAATCCCAGCTACTTGGGAAGCTGAGGCAGCAGAATCACTTGAACCCAGGAGGCAGAGGTTGCAGTGAGCCAAGATCGTGCCATAGCACTCCAGCCTGGGCAACAAGAGCAAAACTCCATCTCAAAAAACAAAACAAACAAACAAAATAGAAATAACTAGTAAGGACAGCAGCAGGAGTGAATATTGATTAAGCAAGACTGGTGATTAGTTGAGAATCGTTAAAGTTGGGTGATGGGTACATGGAAGTTCATTACATTATTTTCCACTTTTGTATATTTCAGGGTTTGGGTTTTTTCATCACAAAAAGTTTTGTGTTTGTTTTATGGTTTTGGGGTTTTTTTAGTTAGCATCTTGCTCTATCACCCAGGCTGGAGTGCAGTAGTGCAAACATGGCTCACTGCAGCCCTGACCTCCTGGGCTCAAGTGATCCTCCCTCCTCAGCCTCCCAAGTAGGTGGGGCTACAGGTGTGCACCACCACACCCAGCCAATTTTTTTTTTCATTTTTGGTAGACAGGGGGTCTTGCTATGTTGCCCACGCTAGTCTCAAACCCCTGGGCTCAAGTGATCCTCCTGTCTCACCCTCCCAAAGTGCTGAGATTACAGGTGTGAGCCACCACACCCAGCATATCGAGAAGTTTTTTCCATTTTTTGGGTTTTGGGGGAAGTTTTTTGTTGTATTTTGGTTTTTTTGTTTTTGTTTTTATTTTTGTTTTTGTTTTGAGACAGGATCTCTGTTGCCCAGGCTTGGTCATCTCTCTACTTAGTGATCAGTGGGCATCTCTGTTGCCCAGGCTTGCAATGGTGTGATCATGGCTCACTGCAGACTGGATCTCCCAGGCTTAAGCAATCCAGTTTTTTGTTTCTTTGTTTTTTCGTTTTATTTGTTTATTTATTTATTTTTGAGACAGAGTCTAGTTCTGTCACCCAGTCTACAGTGCAGTGGCGTGATCTTGGCTCACTGCAACCTCTGCCTCCTAGGTTCAAGTGATTCTTCTGCCTCAGCCTCCCGAGTAGCTCGGACTATAGGCGCCCGCCACCACGCCCAGCTAATTTTTGTGTTTTTAGTAGAGACAGGGTTTCATATGTTGGCCAGGATGGTCTCAAACTCCTGACCTCAGGTGATCTTCCTGCCTCGGCCTCCCAAAATGCTGGGATTACAGGCATGAACCACCGTACCCGGCCCCAAACAGTTGTTTTAGTGAAGACGTTGCCTTAGTCTCTTCCCACTTATAATATTTTCATTTGCCCTACTGCCCTCCAAGGTAGAAGATGCACTAAAATCCAGTTCCTCCCTAGGTTTACTGTAATATATAAGCTTCTAAAATTTTTTTCATCTTATAAAGGTTGAAAATTGCTGATGACTAATTGGAAGCTTCGCACAAATCCTTGGAATTTTTTTTTTTTTTTTTTTGAGATGGAGTCTTGCTTTGTCGCCCAGGCTGGAGTGCACTGGCACGATCTTGGCTCACTGCAGCCTCTGCCTCTTGGATTCAAGCAATTCTCCTGCTTCAGCCTCCCGAGTAGCTGGGACTACAGGCATGCGCCGCCACGCCCAGCTAATTGTTGTATTTTTAGTAGAGACAGGGTTTCACCATGTTGGCCAGAATGGTCTTGATCTCCTGACCTCATGATCCACTCACCTCAGCCTCCCAA
Source organism: Homo sapiens (assembly GCF_000001405.40). Classification (NCBI taxonomy): domain Eukaryota; kingdom Metazoa; phylum Chordata; class Mammalia; order Primates; family Hominidae; genus Homo; species Homo sapiens. Next base: position 92,801,466 of record NC_000015.10, read on the forward strand.
AATGCTGTGATTACAGGCGCGAACCACCACGCCCAGCCAATTCCTTGGATTTAAGAGCCGACAGCTGCGAGAACTTCCCTTCTGGCAGGCAAACCAACTCCAAGGCATGAAAGCCACAGGAATGCTGGGGAGATAAATGCAGGAAGACACAGGTCCTACTCAATGGCACCATCACCCTGCACTGCTGTGGCCAGGCCTCCAAGGTTCCCTGGCTCCTTCTTCCAGGCTGCTGAAGGGGACCCTGGAGCACCTTGGTTGAGAGGAGTCCCTGCCCCAGCTTTCGGGGCACAGGCCCCTACTGTCCTTTTCTGCCTTGTCTCTGGCCCTTCTCCCCTATCTTCCAGCCACACCAAACAACAGGCCACACCCTGCTGCACTCAGCTTTCTCCCACAGACGTGTTTTTGCCGTTTCTCATGCAGTAGCTCACTGCCTGGAATGGGCTTCCCAGCATTTCCCCTAGAAATTCCATTTGCTCTTCTGAATGCCTTATAAGGATCTCTTCTCCAGAAAATGTCCTTACTAATCCTATCAGTTGGGGTTACCTAGTCATCTCTCTACTTAGTGATCAGTGTTCAAATCCTGCTTCTCTATACCAGCTCTGTGAGGTTGAATGAGCTATTCCATCTTTTCTGTCTAGGTTTTCTCATTTCCTTTTTTGTTCTTTTTTTTTTTTTTTTTTTTTGAGACAGGGTCTGGCTTTGTCACCCAGGCTAGAGTGCAGTTGCGCAATCTCGGCTCACTGGAACCTCCTCCTCCCAGGCTCAAGCAATTCTCCCACCTCAGCCTCCAGAATAGCTGGGACCACAGGCATGTGCCACCAAGCCCAACTAATCTTTTTGTATTTTTAGTAGAGATGTAGTTTTGCTATGTTGCCCATGCTGATCTTGAACTCTTGAGCTCAAAATTATCCACCCACCTTGGCCTCCCAGAGTGCTGGGATTACAGGCATGTGCCAACATGCCCGGCTGGGGCCATGCTCTTTCTGAAGCCTCCAGAGGAGACCCTCTGTTCCATGGCTTTTTCTTCTGGTGTTGGTGGCAGTCCTTGGAGTTCCTTGCTTCATGGATGATACTTCACTCCAGTCTCTGTGGCAGAAATTCTCTGGTGTGTGTAGACAAGCCTTCCTCTGCCTCCCTCTTAGGAAGATACATGTGATAACACTTAAGGCCCACCCTGATCATCCAAAATCATCTCCCCATCTCAAGATATTTTTTTTTTTTTGAGATGGAGTCTCGCTCTGTTTCCCAGGCTGGAGTGCAGTGGCGCAGTCTTGGCTCACTGCATCCTCCGCCTCCCGGGCTCAAGTGATTCTCCTGCCTCAGCCTCCTAAGTAGCTGGGACCACAGGCATGTGCCACCATGCCCGGCTAATTTTTGAATTTTTAGTAGAGGTGGGGTTTCACCATGTTGGCCAGGCTGGTCTTGAACTCCTGACTTCAAGTGATCCACCTGCCTCGGCCTCCCAAAGTGCTGGGATTACAGGCGTGAGCCATCGTGCCCGGCATCAAGATCCTTAAATTAAGCTGGGCGTAGTGAGCCGAGATCATGTCACTGCACTTCAGCCTGGGCTACAAAGCAAGACTCCATCTCAAAATAAAATAAAATAAAATAATTTTTTTTTTTTTGAGACGGAGTTTCGCTCTTGCTGCCCAGGCTGGAGTGCTATGGCACGATCCTGGCTCACCACAACCTCCGCCTCCTGGGTTCTAGTGATTCTCCTGCCTCAGCCTTCCAAGTAGCTGGGATTACAGGCATGAGCCACCACACCCGGCTAACTTTGTTGTATTTTTAGTAGAGACAAGGTTTCTCCATGCTGGTCAGGCTGGTCTCGAACTCCCAGCCTCAGGTGATCTGCCCACCTCGGCCTCTCAAAGTGCTGGGATTACAGGTGTGAGCCACCACACCCTAAAATAAAATTGTTTTAAAAGTAAGATCTTTAACTTACACACCTGCACATTTGCAAAGCCCTAGTTGTTGGGGTTTTGTTTTTTTGTTTTTTTTTTTCTTTGAGACAGAGTCTCACTGGGATTGCAGGTGTGAGCCACCTTGCCCTGCCTGTGTTTTGGTTTTTGTTGTTTTTGCCAGATAAAGTAACATTCAGTTTCCACATATTGGGATATCACTGGGAGACCATTATTCAGCCCACCACACACATCCCCAAATCTACCAGGTTAAATGGAGGTAGATTTTTAAGCTTCCCAAGTAGCTGGGACTACAGGCATGCACCACTATGTCTGGCTAATTATTTTTATTTTTTATACAGTTGGGGTCTTGCTACATTGCCCAGGCTGGTCTTGAACTTCTAGGCTCAAGCAAACCTCCTGCCTCTGCCTTCCAAAGTGCTGGGATTACCGGTATGAGTCACCACACTGAGCAAGGGAGAAGAATTTTAAGAGTCCCTATAATAACTCCACACCTCTCTAAAAACCGCACTGCTCGCCCCTCCCCACTCCCACAGGTTTTGGAGTTTCTGACTCCTGAAAGAGAATGAGTCACAGACAGTTCCCGTCAGAAAAGACTATGTCCCTCCCACCTCTCATTTAGTTCCCGTTTGTTTAGGATTCAAGTGTCTTGGGCAGTTAGATAGCTCCCCAGCCTACCCAGTTTCCCTCTTGCCTCCCCTCTACTACCCCCAGAAATGCTTGTGCAATATTGGACTGACTCACCCAGAAATAACTCATGACTCTCCTTTGTTTACAGTTTAAGAGACTAGGGTGTTGAAATATCTCAGCAAAGGCCACTGAGGGACTCTTCAGTCCAGGGACAATGAAACACTGGACAACCTGGGAGGAGTTAGGTACATTCTCTGGCCTTCTCTCAGAGGGGCTTTTGCTGTGTTGTAACAGGCAGTGGAGTGTTGGTAAATATTTAACAAGGCATCTCCAAGGGGAAAAGCCTTAATATGTAGTGTTTACCTATTCCTGTGGTGTAAATACCCCTGCTATGGCCAGTTTCAAGCTACCAACATGATGTCATTGAAACCAAAGTTGGAAAGAAAAGTGCATCATCATTCTGAGCAGCTGACTCCAACACGCCACTGTAGCTCCACTGACCTAAGGGAAAACTGTCAGTCTTCACTCCATAAGGATGTACAGGCCCAGGGGCTGGACAATGTAGCTCTTGGAAGATCACAATAGAGTCAGTTTCCTAATTTCAGGGACCAACTGTTACTGCTAAGAATAAATGGGAGGCCAGGTGCAGTGGCTCACACCTGTAATCCAAGCACTTTGGGAGGCCGAGGCAGGTAGATCACCTGAGGTCAGAGTTCGAGACCAGCCTGACCAACAGAGTGAAACCTCGTCTCTACTAAAAATACAAAAATTAGCCAGGCTTGGTGGCGTGCACCTGTAATCCCAGCTACTCAGGAGGCTGAGGCAGGAGAATCACTTGAACCCAGGAGGCAGAGGTTGCAGTGAGCCGAAATCACACCACTGCACTCCAGCATGGGC